>NC_000011.10:55434164-55737195 GCF_000001405.40 Homo sapiens
AACAACTTCACAATATTGGTTTTTCTATTTCCTGAATACAATATGTCCGTTAAGTATTTTAAATGTTCATTCTTGAAGAGTTTTGTAGTTCTTATTAGTGTAAGGATCTTCCTCCTTTATTCCTAAGTATTTATGCTTTCATGTTTCCTCACAAGTTTTTATTTATTAAAGAATTCCAATTGTCATTGTTGCTAGTATATAAAGAAAATCAAATTTTTTATTTGACAGTTGGGTCCTGTAAACTTCCTAAATTTAATTCCTATTCCTACATAATTATGTCTATAGATTCTTTAGGGTTTTCTGAACCATTATCATGTTATCTACACGTAAGGATAGCTCATTACTTTGAAAGATATAGCAGTGTTTCAGTTTCTCTTTGTATCAGTTTAGGAAGGTTGTCCTTTCCCTACATTTTGCCTAATTACTCTAAGCTGTCAAACTAATCAAAATAATGTATTTCATAACAATACTTTTCTAAACTTTTAAAGTCTAAAATATCTATGGGTTGATTATTTGTTTTATTATTTCTGATCCTGGTAATTTGAATTTCTCTTTGTTTTCTCTTGATCAGTCTTGCTATTTATCAATGTCATAATAAAAGTACCATTTTGGCTATTTTTCTTTTCTCTATTTTATGTTTTCAATTTTATTGGTTTTGATCTTATATTTATGTCCTTTTGTTTAGTTACCTCGGCTTCTTGTTCTAGCTTCTTGAGGTGAAGGCTTAGATGGCTGCTTTTAAAAATTTATTTTCAATGAGAGCATTTATAGCTATACGTGTTTCTTTAAGCACTCTTTTGATCATACTTCACACATTTTGATATATTTTTGTTATTGCTTAGTTCTAAATACTTGGTTATTTCCAGTATACCTTTCTCCTGGATTCATAGGTTGACTAAATATTTGTTGGCAGGTTTCCCAATATTTGAAGCATATCTTAGACATATTTATGAATTATTTATTCATTCATAGCAAATTATTTTAAAACTTAATTCATAGCAAATTATTTTAAAACGTAGTGATTCAAACAATATGTACTCATTCATAATTTCTGTAGGCCAGGAAACTAAGGATGGTTTAGCAGGTTTCAAAGCTTCAAAGACTCTTACAGAGTTGTAATCGAGGTGCCTTTGGGGCTACTGGCTCATATGAAGGCTTGGCTGAGGAAGGATCCACTGCCACACTGGGTGTTGGTATTAGTAGTTATTTGAATTCAGCTGGAAGGGACATAGAGAATTACGTCCTGTTTTTATATTAGTTCTTTATCTTGGAGTCATAATTTAAACCAAAATACCTTTGACCATATCTGATAGTTCTTCAGAATTAAAGATATATATGTGCATTTTTAGCACTTACCAGTAAAACAGCACAGTGTTTATAGACATGCTCTTCAAATTTTAGCAGTAATACATATTACATTTGTGGTGGATGAATTTAATCCATTTATTAGGTAAGTTGAAAATAACCAACTTTTAATGGAGCCCATTACATGATAAAAACCTTTGCTACTTCACAGAAATATTTATGAGACTCTTTATCTGAGTCTGCTATGACACAAAGATCCAATATTTAACTAAATGTATGATGAGATGAAGGTGTTCAATGGAGCCAATGGTGCGCCAAGTCACAGAAATAACAATGGAAGCCCTTAAACACTACTCATTTGTTGAAAATCAAAATTTCTTTATTGTAGAAAGTTATTGAATTGATATATGAATAAAATTAAAAAATTAAATTAATGGATGTATTAGTCCGTTTTCACACTGCTGATAAAGACATACCCAAGACTGGGTAGAAAAAGAGGTTTAATTGGACTTTCAGTTCCACATGGCTGGGGAGGTCTCAGAATCATGGTGGGAGGTGAAAAGGCACTTCTTACATGGTGGTGGAAAGAGAAAAATGAGGAAGATACAATTCTGGTTGAAATTTGGTTGGGGACACAGCCAAAACATATCAACGGACTACAGATCATTATCATTATATCTGACATAGATACAGGTCTTGATCAAAAGCCAGTACTCTAACCTAAAATTGCAGCACTACGATTACCTATTTTTTCCATAATCAAAATATCAACTTACATTCTTAGGTTCTCTGCCTCTGAGCCTCAGGGCTTCTTGGACACTGACTTTCTAACAGGAAGGATAAGGCCCTCCTTACCGGGAATATTTTTAAAGAAGATAATCTGGGGCTAGTTCTCTTTCATTCTGGCTGAAATATTACTTTTCTTACCTATACATTTTATAACATAAAACTCATAATTTATTATTCAATTTACTTTAGAATTTTTCTTTTCATATTACAGGCATTTCACATTATTTGTCACTTAGCTACTTTTCCTTAGCAAGAGCCAAGTCTTTTTCCTCTAGGGATTTTCTAAGGAAAAAGGTTACGGAGAGATTACTTCATTTGAATTTGTTCCAAATATTCTAATTAACTAATCTATAATGATCTTATTGTCTCTTTCTAAAATTTGTTGATGTGAAAGTCATAGACTGTGTCTACAGACATCAAATGGAAGAATTATATTCCTGATAGAACAACCCAGTACATATCATAAAAGATAAATTTCTGCCGGGCGCGGTGGCTCACGCCTGTAATCCCAGCACTTTGGGAGGCCGAGGCGGGCGGATCACGAGGTCAGGAGATCGAGACCATCCTGGCTAACACAGTGAAACCCCGTCTCTACTAAAAAAAAATACAAAAAATTAGCCGGGCGTGGTAGCGGGCGCCTGTAGTCCCAGCTACTCGGGAGGCTGAGGCAGGAGAATGGCGTGAACCCGGGAGGCGGAGCTTGCAGTGAGCCGAGATCGCGCCACTGCACTCCAGCCTGGGCAACAGAGCGAGACTCCGTCTCAAAAAAAAAAAAAAAAAAAAAAAAAAAGATAAATTTCTGCCCAAGGTAGAGTATGTCTTCAGTTGGTATCTGGTCTGCTACGTGCAATGTTTTCTTCTCATATCCACCATTGCTTGTAAAAATGAGTGAAAAGGCTCAATTTCCTGGGATGAGATTGGGGAGATATAGAGACATGCTTTTACTTAGGAAAGAAGTGGCCTTAGGGATATGTCAGTTGAATGACTGAAAGACTGAAGATTTTGGCTTCTGCCTGTCGGCAATCTCTGTCACGGGATTCTCCATGAAGTTAAATCTCAGCATTGTCCTTGTTAGGTACAAAGCTTAATAGCTGGGCACATAAATATTATCATAAATCCTCAATCACAGAAAAGGACTTATGGTTTAGCAAAATTTAGAAAACTTTCAAGTAAAAAATTTTAGTGTTGATACTTGTGTCACATAATAAGGGTCTTGTCCAGGTTAATTTTCACTAATTAGGTCAACTTTTAAATAGTCATGCAGAGGTAGTCTGTTGTTTTTATCTGAAAAAATTTTCCAGCAGGTGAGAATGTTAGATTACCTTTTTACAGTAAATACTAACATTATGTTAAGGCATTTTTATATTTTGGTCATCTGCTTTGGTGCCATATTTCTCTAAAGACTGAGATAATGAGAAGCCAGGGTGAAACTATGGAAACTGTAGCCACTAGGAATTAATTCTACATACATGGATCAGCCATGTATATTCTTGTGTTTTATGATAACACATAGATGCATGAGGTATCTACAGCAATCCTCAGTGAAGGAAACATTGTTTTTCTGGACCAAGAAGTGAGTGTTTGAAACCACTGACAAGAGATATGCATTGAAAATTCTTCTGATATGTTGAAATATAGCTAGTGTCTTAAAAACCCATGGCTTTATTAGATAAATTCTAATTGGAAAAATTAAGCTAGCAGATATGAAAATTTACCAGACTATACAATGTATACTTGGTTTTAAAATACAGCCTAATTGGTTGTATTTTTCCATTTGCCAAATAAGAAGAGAAATATGTTCCACATTACATGTATAATAAATAAACCAGTCTGAAGTTGTTTTGCATGATGTATTAATAAAGATGTACAATTACTTTTAGATATATATGATTAGAGAATTTAAAATTCTGGTTCATGTCAAGTGTCTTAGAGTGCAAAGGAACAAAAGCATGTTATGTTTTAGAAGCATTATATGGGTTTTTACTTATCCAGCAAACATGCTAGTAGATATGTGTGCCCTGGAAGGTACCTAGTCTACTGTCATTTGACAAAGGGCTAATATCCAGAATCTACAGTGAACTCAAACAAATTTATAAGAAAAAAACACAACCCAATCAAAAAGTGGGCAAAGGATATGAACAGACACTTCTCAAAAGAAGACATTTATGCAGCCAAAAGACACACGAAAAAATGCTCATCATCACTGGCCATCAAAACCACAATGAGATACCATCTCACACCAGCTAGAATGGCGATCATTAAAAAGTCAGGAAACAGCAGGTGCTGGAGAGGATGTGGAGAAATAGGAACACTTTTACACTGTTGGTGGGACTGTAAACTAGTTCAACCATTGTGGAAGTCAGTGTGGTGATTCCTCAGGGATCTAGAACTAGAAAT
The DNA here is from genome assembly GCF_000001405.40 of Homo sapiens. Taxonomy (NCBI): domain Eukaryota; kingdom Metazoa; phylum Chordata; class Mammalia; order Primates; family Hominidae; genus Homo; species Homo sapiens. Next base: position 55,438,656 of record NC_000011.10, read on the forward strand.
ACCATTTGACCTAGCCATCCCATTACTGGATATATACCCAAAGGATTATAAAACATGCTGTTATAAAGACACATGCACTTGTATGTTTATTGTGGCACTATTCACAACAGCAGACTTGGAACCAACACAAATGTCCAACAATGATAGACTGGATTAAGAAAATGTGGCACATATACACCATGGAATACTCTGCAGCCATAAAAAATGATGAGTTCATATTCTTTGTAGGGACATGGATGAAGCTGGAAACAATAATTCTCAGCAAACTATCACAAGGACAAAAAACCAAACACTGCATGTTCTCACTCATAGGTGGGAATTGAACAATGGGAACACATGGACACAGGAAGGGGAGCATCACACACCGGGGCCTGTTGTGGGGTGGGGAGAGTCTGGAGGGATAGCATTAGGAGATATATCTAATGTTAAATGATGAGTTACTGGGTGCAGCACACCAATATGGCACATGTATACATATGTAACAAACCTGCACGTTGTGCAAATGTACCCTAAAACATAAGGTATAATAAAAAAATAAAAAAATAAATAGTTTTATAAAACTGTGACTGTGAAATATATGATTTTTTTGTTATTATGGAATTTTATCTTTTGAAAATGTCATGTTCTCAGGAAAGTATATTGTCTTTTTTTCTAGAAAAATGTTAACTTAGAAGTCTACATTGAAAGCCTACTAATGCTGTTTCAGTATTTAAAGTACTATATTTTAAATTATTTAAAGTATTATGTTTTAAATTTTTTTAAATATAAAGTGTAGTTTACATGTTCTAGTTTTTACAATTAAACATTAAATTGCAAAATAGAATTATCGTTTTGAAATCTAGTTTTGACAATGAAATGGAGAAAAGGCCCTAAGCCTTGCAGGAAGTAAGGTGTTAAAAAATAATAGAATGGCTATAACTTCATTATACACTTGTGTTTCTTAGCAGGTGTGTCTCTATCGGTCTATAGCTTCAATATGATAGAACTGTGGAATCAGCTGGAAGTGGTAATGTGAAGGAGACATGTGGAATGTTCAGCGCAGTTGGTGTTTAGAGGAAGCTCAAACTCTCTCTGCACACATCCTCCTCCACTGCCAGATCTATGTAAATGGAATCATTTTATCTACATTTGAGGTGTAGTAATTCTTCAGTTTTCCTACCAGTGAATTATCAGAAAGTTTGGGTTTGTATCTCTACTTTTCCCATTGTTGTCTGTCATTTAAGTTTGTCCTTAACCATCAGATCTAGAGACTTTGAGAAATCTATGTGTTTTGCTTTTCTTCTGAGTTTTCTTTTTTCTTCTCTTTCTTTTTTTTTCCTTTCTTCTTTTCTTTTTTTTTCTTTCTTTCATTTTTTTTTTTTTTTTTTTTTTTTTGTTTGTTTACTATGATCTGGGCTGTGTTTTTTGGCTACCCCAAGAAGCCTCTTGACTCTCCCCAGGGACCCACAGGAGGCTGTGCTTCCATTATTTCCTTATGAAAAAAATATTTCTGAAGAAAATTTTTTGAAGAATATTTGCCTCAATTATCACATTATTATTAATGTTATTTCCTGTTGATATTAACTTATTTATTATAATTATTCTGTTTTCTTATTATTATTATACTTTAAGTTTTAGAGTACATGTGCAAAATGTGCAGGTTAGTACATATGTATACATGTGCCATGCTGGTGCGCTGCACCAACTAATTCATCATCTAGCATTAGGTATATCTCCCAATGCTATCCCTCCTCCTCCCACCACCCCACAACAGTCCCCAGAGTGTGATGTTCTCCTTCCTGTGTCCATGTGTTCTCATTGTTCAATTCCCACCTATGAGTGAGAATATGTGGTGTTTGGTTTTTTGTTCTTGTGATAGTTTACTGAGAATGATGATTTCCAATTTCCTCCACGTCCCTACAAAGGACATGAACTCATCATTTTTTATGGCTGCATAGTATTCCATGGTGTATATGTGCCACATTTTCTTAATCCAGTCTATCATTGTTGGACATTTGGGTTGGTCCCAAGTCTTTGCTATTGTGAAAAATGCCGCAATAAATATACGTGTGCATGTGTCTTTATAGCAGCATGATTTATAGTCCTTTGGGTATATACCCAGTAATGGGATGGCTGGGTCAAATGGTATTTCTAGTTCTAGATCCCTGAGGAATCACCACACTGACTTCCACAAGGGTTGAACTAGTTTACAGTCCCACCAACAGTGTAAAATTATTCATATTTCTCCACATCCTCTCCAGCACCTGTTGTTTCCTGACTTTTTAATGATTGCCATTCTAACTGGTGTGAGATGGTATCTCATTGGGGTTTTGATTTGCATTTCTCTGATGGCCAGTGATGGTGAGCATTTTTTCATGTGTTTTTTGGCTGCATAAATGTCTTCTTTTGAGAAGTGTCTGTTCATGTCCTTCACCCACTTTTTAATGAGGTTGTTTGTTTTTTTCTTGTAAATTTGTTTGAGTTCATTGTAGATTCTGGATGTTAGCCCTTTGTCAGATGAGTAGGTTGTGAAAATTTTCTCCCATTTTGTAGGTTGCCTGTTCACTCTGATGGTAGTTTCTTTTGCTGTGCAGAAGCTCTTTAGTTTAATTAGATACCATTTGTCAATTTTGGCTTTTGTTGCCATTGCTTTTGGTGTTTTAGACATGAAGTCCTTGCCCATGCCTATGTCCCGAATGGTAATGCCTAGGTTTTCTTCTAGGGTTTTTATGCTTTTAGGTCTAACGTTCAAGTCTTTAATCCATCTTGAATTGATTTTTGTATAAAGCATAAGGAAGGGATCCAGTTTCAGCTTTCTACATATGGCTAGCCTGTTTTCCCAGAACCATTTATTAAATAGGGAATCCTTTCCCCATTGCTTGTTTTTTTCAGGTTTGTCAAAGATCAGATAGTTGTAGATATGCGGCGTTATTTCTGAGGGCTCTGTTCTGTTCCATTGATATATATCTCTGTTCTGGTGCCAGTACCATGCTGTTTTGGTTACTGTAGCCTTGTAGTATAGTTTGAAGTCAGGTAGTGTGATGCCTCCAGCATATAAACAGAACCAAAGACAAAAACCACATGATTATCTCAATAGATGCAGAAAAGACCTTTGACAAAATTCAACAACCTTCATGCTAAAAACTCTCACTAAATTAGGTATTGATGGGACATATCCCAAAATAATAAGAGCTATCTATGACAAACCCACAGTCAATGTCATACTGAATGGACAAAAACTGGAAGCATTCCCTTTGAAAACTGGCACAAGACAGGGATGCCCTCTCTCACCACTCCTATTCAACATAGCGTTGGAACTTCTGGCCAGGGCAATTAGGCAGGAGAAGGAAACAAAGGGTATTCGATTAGGAAAAGAGGAAGTCAAATTGTCGCTGTTTGCAGATGACATGATTGTATATCTAGAAAACCCCATTGTCTCAGCCCAAAATCTCCTTAAGCTGATAAGCAACTTCAGCAAAGTCTCAGGATACAAAATCAATGTACAAAAATCACAAGCATTCTTATACACCAACAACAGACAAACAGAGAGCCAAATCATGAGTGAACTCCCATTCACAATTGCTTCAAAGAGAATAATATACCTAGGAATCCAACTTACAAGGGATGTGAAGGACCTCTTCAAGGAGAACTACAAACCACTGCTCAAGGAAATAAAAGAGGATACAAAGAAATGGAAGAACATTCCATGCTCATGGGTAGGAAGAATCAATATCATGAAAATTGCCATACTGCCCAAGGTAATTTACAGATTCAATGCCATCCCCATCAAGCTACCAATGACTTTCTTCACAGAATTGGAAAAATTATTTTAAAGTTCATATGGAACCAAAAAAGAGCCCGCATCGCCAAGTCAATCCTAAGCCAAAAGAACAAAGCTGGAGGCATCACACTATCTGTTTTCATATTTAACCCCTTTTTCTTTCATTTTTACCATACAGCTCTACCTCTGATGAGGGGTCCTACTTTTCTACTATAATTCTGCCTGATCTTGTCAAGATATGTTTCATTAAGATAAACTCACTACTCATGCATAATTAAATAGATAGTTCCTAAGACATAACAATTATGTTGTGTTCCCCAAAAGCCTTTCCTGAATTATAGGTGTCTTTTGGTTTTTTCCCTGGACTATGTCTATAAATCTTTTCAAATTGACATATCCCGATGATGAGTTCTGATCCAGTGTTCACAGTGAAGCAGTCAGGAATACGAGTAATAGATACCATTTATGAGCCTTTACGAGGTGCCAGCCAGTGTTCTAGGCAGTTTACTTTGTTGTAATAAAACATCCCTAAGAGTTCTTAAATCATAGTGAGGCATAAAGAGGTTTGGTAAGTGGCCCAAAGTCACACAGTAAGTGGTGAAGCTGGGGTTATAGCAGGGGTGTGTGGCTCCAATGTCCACATTATTCACCACATGCTATACTTTCTCTCCATGGATATCTTGAATCTTAAATTGACGCATATTGAGTGAAAAATTTGTAGTCATTATTTACCCACACTAATCATGACACATCTAGCACTGACTACCATTATTCATGTAACAGTCATGAGCTTGGAAATTGCTATTTAATTATAAATATATGAAAAATGAAAAAAGTCAGCAGAATAGAATAAGGGAGAGGTGCACTAATAGTTTAATAGATGATTGACTATAAAGGATTCTCAGTTTATCTAAATTAATCATACCGTTTTTCAGTAAGAAAACACAAACAGATTTTTAATGCATTCAGAAAATGACTGAAATTCATCCGTCTTATATTGAATTTGGAATTTGTCTTCTAGTATGCTTTTTTTGGGAATCTGGACAATAAGGTTCTATTTTTGAGTGCTCTAAGTATTTAAATAGTGTTATAAATAAAACCATGTCCCCTGTTCTGTGCCTCTTTGTACAGTGTCTGTTTTCTCCTCTCTCACTATCTTGTTTACCCCAAGAATTCAGAAAAAAAATACTCACTGCTAAAGAGGCAGTTGATGATAATCATGATCTAGTTCACTCAAGTTCAAAATTAGATGCTGAAAATCAGGATATTGTTGTAAGTGTGATAAAAAAATATGAAACAGGCAAGGATATGATCTAGAGACTTATAGCTCCTTATAAGGTGAAAAGACAGTCAGACTAAGTAATTGCTACAGGGAATAATGTGATAAATAATATTTTACTATTTATACAGGTTAATGTCCATTCTCTTGATGTTTAATGAGATATTCATAAAAACTGAACATCATTTAAGGCATGAAGGCCCATTGTCTAATAGTGGAATTCCATAGTCCTGAGTGATATATTTTAGAGGATGTTGTTTTTGATGCTACACCAATCATAAAGTAAAAATACCACAAAACTACAAACACAAAGGACTGAATCTATGCCAATTTACTTATTTAGAGTTTATTACCACCACCATAAAGTAAGTTTCTTAAGACCAAAACTCTGTTGCCTCTTCAACATAGCTAACAGTCATGCCAAGAAATACATTTTAAATAAAGAGGTATGAAAGATATGAATGGCTATTGGGCTTTTAACTCTTCTTCTGTACAGAATATTCACTAAAACTTAGAGTCTGAAGCTGTCACCTGCAGGCTAAAATAAAATCTTTGAGGAGATGAGGAACTCAATAGAGACTTACACAATGTTGATCATGTGTGTAAATAACTATTGAGGATACAATGATGAAAGTGTGTTTTGTGACATTATGGATGCATTCATGTTCCTGTTCACTATTTCATTACAGTTTCTGCCCTCCTGAGCTCTCAACTCTATTACGAGCCTTAGAGAAGAGTAAATGGGAACAAGTAATAATGTTACAGAATTTGTCCTCCCAGGCCTCTCTCAGGATCCTGATGTGCAAAAAGCATTATTTGTAATGTTTTTACTCACATACAATGTGACTATGGTGGGCAACCTTCTCATTGTGGTGACCATTATTGCCATCGCCTCCTTGGACTCCCCAGTGTCCTTCTTCCTCGCATGCCTGTCATTTATTGATGCTGTATATTCCACTTCCTTTTCCCCTAAGTTGATGATAGACTTACTCTGTGATAAAAAAGACTGTTTCTTTCCTGGCTTGCATGGGCCAGCTATTTATAAACTACCCATTTGGTGGTATTGAGGTCTTTCTTTTGGTGGGTATGGCCTGTGATCACTATGTGGACATCTGTAAGCTACTGCACTATTTGACCATCATGAACTGGCAGGTTTGCATCCTCCTGTTTATGGTGGCTGTGACTGGAGGTTTTTGCATTCTATGTTTCAAATTGTTGTTGTGTACAGTCTCCCTTTCTGTGGCCCCAATGTCATTGACCATTTTGTGACATGTACCCATTATTGGAAATGGTGTGCACTGACACTTACTTTATAGGCCTCACTGTGATTGCCAATGGTGGAGCAGTCTGTATGGTCATCTTCATCCTTCTACTAATCTCCTATGGAGTCATCCTAAACTCCCTTAAAACTTATAGTCAGGAAGGCGGGCATAAAGCCCTGTCTACCTGCAGCTCCAACATTACTGTTGTGTCCCCTTTTTTGATCCCTGTATTTTCATCTATGTTAGACCTGATTCAAACTTTCCTATTGATAAATTCATGACTGTGTTTTATACAATTATCACATCCATGTTGAATCCATTAATATACACACTGAGAAATTTAGAGGTGAGAATTGCTGTGAAAAAACTCTGGTGTAAAAACTAAACTATAGTAAGAATAAGGGTGTTGTGGCTGGGTGCAGTGGCTCACACCTGTAATCCTAGTACTTTGAGAGGCCGAAGCAGGTGGATCATGAGGGCAGGAGTTTGAGACCACCCTCTCCAATATGGTGAAACACCATTTCTACTAAAAAATACAAAAATTAGCTGGGCGTGGTGGCACGTGCCTGTAGTCCCAGCTACTCACGAGGCTAGGGAGTAGAGTCACTTGAACCCAGGAGGTGGAGGTTGCAGTGAGCCAAGATCGTGCCACGGCACTCTAGCCTGGGTGACAGAGTGAGACACCATCTCAAAAAAAACAAAATGGATACGGGTGTTCCTTTTCTTTTAGTAGAGGTATAAGTAAATGACATATTTGCTGTGATACTGTTAGACGTCTAAGGACAATTCAGGTATACTAGGTTGGGAAGGCAGGATTTAGAATCTCCCTTCTCAAAGAGATGTTATCTCACCATGGCATCTGTTTGAATGTTCAAGATCTCAAATTCTATATCTAGAATGAGTGTGGATGGGTTCCATGGGTAGAGTTTCTATTGTGCACTTTTTAAATTATGGTTTTTCTGTATTTACAGATCTATTGAGACAGGGAATTTATTCCACATGCCCAGCATGCAATGGGGAAAGAGAGGTCTAGGCAATTAAAATAGGTGCTTCTGTTCACAAGGGAAGGCGATGGTGCTTTCTTCAGTGTGATTTACTTGAAGACTTTGTAGAATATATAAGCACCATACTCACACATATCTTTGAAACTGGAAATGTATAATTGCATTCATACCACTGAGCAACAGGAGTGGAAACCTCTGTGAAAGGTTCCTTTTGTTCTGAAAGTTATGCTTATGAATATGAGCTGCCTCCTAAATATGTTTCTATACATACTATTTCCATTTTATTAAGATATTTTGTTACACTATGCCCTTAATGACATTAGGTTGTGTCTCTCTGAAATCCCAAAAACTTATCAGTAGTTGCCTTTCCAATGGGCTTCCTCTGGACACTCTGTCAGGAATTATTGAAACCCAGATCCCAATAATCATCACAGGGTGGCAGGAGTAGCTTTCTGCTAGAGTCTCCAGTCTGCATATGTTCATAGATATATATATAAAATTCTAAAAATGACTGTGCATTAAGGTTCTTGGGTCTAATGGCATTGCTTGAGTAACTTCCCATTATGAGACTTCCAGAGCCCTTGTCATTTATTTCTTACCACTGTATGTTGGAGATCTAGTGGTATAATTGCTAAGGTCTGTGAAATGTCTCTGATGGTCACGAACTATGCTGTTCCCAGAATCTTGCATGATTAGTCTATGCTCTGTTTGTTGACTAGACTGATCAATCACATTTGAACACTAATATTTACTGTAGTCTCCACACTTTTCCACATTGCTTATTCTGAGGAAGAAACTACTACAATATTATCATAGTAATGAATTAATTTATTTCAGTTATGTTCATGTCTAAGTTTCATTTCACCAAATTATGGCATTATGCTAAGAATATATCTTTGGGGAAAACGGAAACCATATGTTGCATTTCTGTCCACAAAAGCAAACTATTCTGGATATTCTTTTAATCCTAAAAGTTGATCTGGAAGCCCAAAGATATAAGATTTGTAATTAAAATTTTGAAAGACTAATGAATCATTCTGAATAAGACAGGTTACAATTTTATAACAATTAAAATAATATGGTGCTGTTTGAAATATAAAGTACATGAAAGTACTTGTAAATTAAAACCATTCCATAAACACATTTAAAATGAAGCTGTTTCAGTTAGCATGTTTTTGATTCAAATGATAGAACATTGAATTCAAACTTTTTTGAAATATAACAATATTGATTGGTTAGCATAATTGCACTGCGCAATATTGTGAAAATATTCAAGGTGAGTTGATGAAATGGACCAATTATGTTTTTAAAGAACACTTTTCTTTGTTTATTTTGTCCCATGAGTCACAATATTGGATTAAATCTGGCTCTCCTATCACAAGAAGGATGGCTATCTGTATTGATTTAGAGAGCGCTCTTCTCACAACTGTGGCAGAGGTAATTGACCTGATTGTGATGTGGAATGGAGATGTTATAACACAATGGTTGCAAGAAATAATACTTTTTTCTTTCTAGTTGACTTACTTGAGCACATCTTGACATTTCCTTTTCCAATAGTGATAATAAATGAGAAAGTGCAGGAGTCCTTTCCTGAATGGGTATAATGAACAGGGACGAGACATTTTGAGGATGAAAGTATGGACTATCCCATTCAATAAGTTATAGATCTGCAGAGATGCTAGCGGAAGGTGAAACGGGAAAAAATTGATAAGGAAGAAGTTGGTAAATAGCAGTTGCATCTCTGAGATCAGCTGCAGTTGCAAGAGACATAGTTTGTCATGGAACCTTTCTCTTCTAGCTCCCCTCAAGTAAGAGAATCCTAAAGGAGCTCTTCTGATAATGTATAAGAATATATAAATTCAAGTGGCATAAGGGCTATATTATGGTCTATATGAAGAGGCTCTGCCTTGCCCTTCATTTAGGAAAGAAGAATTTATTTTTCCAGTTGTTGGGTGTTCTGTTAGTAGACAGCATTCAGATGATAGCCCCTTCAGTGTCTTAAACATTGCAGAAATCCACCTCAATAAAGGACTCATGCCCTTTCTCAGAGCAGTCCCTCTTTGCATCCAGGTTAATATTTAGGTTCAGGTAAACTTATAGCACAAGCAGGAAATATGATCCTTTTCTAGAAGAAAATAATTAATTTTGTTAAAAATTACGAATCTAGATAATTTAAATGACAATAATCATAGGAACATGTAGAATTGGATCTTGTGTATATTGAAATGGAGAAGGACATTGATTAGGCTGCATGGGGAATGTTTATCAGTGTGAAGATAATCTGTCATCAATATATGTGGCACAAGGTTTATGTTGACTAAAATTACTGAGCACTTACTGTGTGTCAAACATATAGAAGAAAGCATTCCAAGTGTTTAGGGTGGTATGTTCAGGTGTCACCATGACTCACCCTTTAGGAGGCCATTCCAATGTTCTATCTAGACAACAGCTTCTAGGTGATGGGAAATTTGCTGATAGCGCTGAATTCTATGGTGGTGAGTGATTTGCTGTACTTTATTCATTAGAAAAGATATCCCCTGGTCAGAAATGACAATGATTATGATAGCATGGCAGTGGATCCTTTCCCATGAATAATAAATAAGACTAAAGTACTGGGACAATCATATAACCAGAATATATAATATAATGTCCAGGTGCTGTCTTCACCACATTGAGATTTGCAACGAAGTAAGCTGGCAGAGGGATGTTGGCTGGTTTCCCTAGCTATTTGTGCCACATTAGGGAGTCAATGATGGACATTGCTGATGGCATTTTGGACCTTGAGCACTGACAGTAGCTAGAGCAGCCATGGTGAAGGGCAGATTTTATTCTTTGAGCCCTTGTAAAGTATTCGTCTCTGCCACAGTGACTACAAAGGTGACTAGAAAAAAAAAAAAAAAAAAGCCTGACTGACATCCAAAATATAGTTCATGTTGCTGACCAGATTTCTGCAAGCCTCCTCTGCAGCAGATTTTCTTTGACAGGCATTTAAGTGGAAACTAACTGTTGCATTTGTGCTCAGTCTGGGATATCCATACCACTCCAACTGCTTTGTAATCTTTTTTCCAGTTTTAAATTTCAATTTCCTCAATATCTTATCAAATCCGTTAGCCACGTTTCTGAATCTTTGTGGACCCATAACTCAGGCCATTTCTCTTTCCACATGAAATGGAAAACCTAACATAATCCTCAAAATACTGCTCACCGGGATGCTTTTCCTTTACTTCATTGCTTCAGTACCACCTTCCAGGGAGAGTACTGTGCAGCATTTGTCCAGTTTCACCTGCTTTTGCCATAGCAAGCAGATTGGTAAAGTCTTTTGTTGTTTTCTTTCAAGCATAGTTTGTTTTGTTGATTTTAGTGTTACTATGGTATACTTCACAAATATTTTATGCACTTAAAGTGTACAATATGATGTTTGATATATGTATACATTGTGAAGTGATTAACACTATGTAGCTAGTTAATATATCCATTATCTCACAGTTACCTTTATTTGTGATAAGAGAATTTAAGGTATATTCTCTTAGCAAATTTCATGTATCCAATATGTATTACTAATTATGATCAACACGCTGTACCTGAGCTCTTCAGAATTTATACATACTGCATAACTGAAACTTTGTAACCTTTGGCCAGCAATCCTCATTTTCTTCAGACCCAGTCCCTGGAAACCACCATTCTAGTCTCTGTCTTTCGTGAGTTTGACTTTTTTTAGATTGCACTCATAAGTGAATCATGTGGCATTTATGTTTCAGTAGAAAAAAGAACTCTTGTGAAGTATTGTTGGAAATGTGAATTGCTGTGGCCATTATAGGGAACTCTATGGAGGTTCCTCATAGAATTATAATTAAAAATATCATCTAGCAATATGACTTCTTGTAATATATGTAAAGGAAATGAAATTAATATCTTGAATGCCTGCACTTCCATGTATAGTGGAACATTATTCATAGTAGTCAAAATATGAAAACAAAAGTTCATCAAAGATGAATTGGTAAAGACAATACATATCCAGTGTGGAATGATATATATGTATCTGTATGCCTAATATGATATTATTAATTATAGTCCATTCTGTACCTTAGATTACTAGAGTGTATTCATTCTGTATAGCTCACAATTTGTGTCCTATGTGTAATACAGTATTATGCAATAAATATATATATAACCCAACATTATTCAACCTTAAAAAAGAGGAAGATCCTGCCATTTTTGACCATGTCTACGGACCTGGAGGACTTTAATAACTTCATTATTTTATTTCACTTTTAATTAATGAATAATAATATTATGTATGCATAGGTTACCATGTGATGTTTTGAGATCACTTGCAATAATATTGATGAACCTGGAGCGCATTTTGCTACGTGAAATGAGTTCTTGAATGAACATTTAGTGTGTTAGTTTTACAGTCTTTATTATTTTCTAATTAAGAACTAAGATTTTGGCTGACTTTGAGGAGCTTTGGTAGGTTGTATTTTTATAAACATTAGGCTCAAAAAAATTTCTAATTTCCGTTATAATTTATTTTACCAAAAGCTTGTTAAAAAGTAATTTATTTAATTTTCAAATATGCAGAAATTTCTGGATAATTTCATTTTTTATTTTTTCATAAATTATTGGGGTATAGGTGGTACAGGTGGTATTTGGTTATGTGAGTAGTTTCTTTAGTGGTGATTTGTGAGATTTTTGTACACTATCCACACAACTATATTGGTTGTGTTTTATTCCTTGCCCTCCTCCCACTCTTCGCCCCAAGTCCTCAAAGTCCATTGTACTATTCTCACGCCTTTACATCCTGATAGCTTAGTTCTCACATATCAGTGAGAACATAGAATGTTTGGTTTTCCATTCCTGAGTTACTTCACCTAGAATAATAGTCTCCAGTCGCACCCAGGCCACATCAAATGCTGTTAATTCATTCCATTTTATGGCTGAGTAGTATTCCATCATATATATATATATATATATATATATATATATATATATATAAATATATATTATCTACCTACATACCTATCATTTATCTTATCTACACACACACACACATATACGTACATAAAATATGGTATTATTAACTACAGACCTCATGCTGTACCTTACATCACCAGTACTTCTACATCCAACATAAATAAAAATTTGTATCATTTGCCCTTTGTGTCTGTATATATAATGCAATAATATTTCATAATAGAATATTATTCAACCCTTCAAAAGAACATTCTGTCATTTTTGACAACATGAATTAACCTGGAGGTCTTAATAACCTCTCTGTTTTTTTTTGTTTTTAATTGACAAACAGTAATTGTATGTATTTGTGGGGTACACTGTGAGGTTTTTATGTCATATGCAATAACACAAACGTACCTAGAGGACATTATGCTAAGTGGAATGATTTCTTAAATAGATATTTAGTGCTCTGATTTTCAGTCTTTATTATTTTCTAGCAAATACAAGTAATATTTTAGATGAGTCTTACAAGATTTGCTATGTTGTGTTTTCATTATCATTAGGTTTAAAGTATTTTCTAACTTCTGTAATTTATTTTTACTAATGGATAATTTGGAACTGGATTGTTTAATTTTGAGATATACAGAAAATGTCTGGCTAATTTAGGTTTTTATTTTCTAGCTGATTTTCTTGATGTTCAGTCACATATTTTATTATTATAATATTTTGAAATCCATTGATAATTGCTTTATGAACCAGCATATGATTGGTTTTGGAAAATGTTTCATATGCACTTAAAAAGAATGTATATTTTGCAGCTGTTGGATGTGGTGGACTCTTATGTCAATGGGTCAAATTTATTAATTCTTTTCCTGTATTATTGCTGATTTGACTATTTCTTCTTTTAGTTCAATCTATTATTAAAAAATAACTTAAAAAGTGTTATTTTTAGGTACACAAAAATTTAAAATTTTATCTTCATGTTACTAATCCTTTGCCATTACAAAAGTCTATTTCTGGCAATATTTCTTTCCTTGAAGTCCAGTGTTGTCTGCTATTAGCATAGAAACAGTGTTCTTTTGGTCAGTTTATGAGTTTATTCTATTATTTTATTTTTATCTTTTAATCCTGTTATTTAAGATGTTTCTCTTATAAGAGTCTTAACATTGTGTTCTATTTCTTAAATAGGAGAAATTTGCTGATTAAAAAATTAATTATATGCTAGATATAAATCCAACATAAATAAAAATGTGTATATTTTGCCGTTTGTGTTTGTATATATAATGCAATAATATTTCATAATAGAATATATTGTGTTTTATTCAATACCAATTATATATTGCATTTGGATTTAAATCCAACATATATTTAATTCCCTTGGTTTTGTATTTATTAATGTTACATATGATTAATATTCATTTTATTTATTCCTGTATTTCTTGTTTCAATTAGTTTTCCTTTTTTCTTGCATTTTCTTTTTTTCTATTTCAAAGCTTTTTTCTTCTTCCCTGAGATCAGTTTTTTTAGAGCTCTTATTCTGTGGTTTTTGGCTGGTTCTAGAATCTCTTAAGTACGTTTTTAAATCAGAAAACTCTGCATTTTACATTGACTTCTGTGAGATTTTGAATGGATTCTATGTTGACATTAATATTCATTTAGCACTGTGAAGGTGTATTTCCTTAGTCTTCTAGTTTTCTTTTATTTTTATTATTTTACTTTAAGTTCTAGGGTACATGTGCACAACGTGCAGGTTTGTTACATAGGTATACATGTGCCATGTTGGTTTGCTGCACCCGTTAACTCGTCATTTACATTAGGTGTATCTCCTAATGTTATCCCTCCCCCCACCATCCGGCAGGCCCCGGTGCGCGATGTTCCGCACCCTGTGTCCATGTGTTCTCATTGTTCAATTGCCACCTATGAGTGAGAACATGAGGGGTTTTCACTGCTTCTTTTAAGAAATTGTCTGTTATCATAGTATTTTATTTTCTTTCTTTTTTTTTTCTTTTTTCTTTGAGAGAGGGTCTGGAATCTGTCCTCCAGGCTGGAATGCAATGGTGCCATCTTGGCTCACTGCAACCTCCGCCTCCAGGTTCAAGCAATTCTCATGCATCAGCCTCCCAAGTAGCTGGGATTACAGGCACCAGCCACCACACTCATTTAATTTTGTATTTTTAGTAGAGACCGGATTTCTCCATGTTGGTCACGCTGGTCTCAAACTCCTGACCTCAAATGACCCACCTGCCTCGGCCTCCCAATATACTAGGATTACAGGCATGAGGTACTGCACCTGGCTTTATTATTATTTCCTTGAATTCAGTATGTTCTTAAAATTTTTGTCTGTATTTTGCTTTTATTCTGCTGTCCCTTTTCTGTTTATCCTTTTTAAACAAATTATTTTTTAAAATTCATTTTCATGAAACTTTTAACACCTTATACATTCATAACAATATTTTCAGTAGTTTTAGAGAATTTTCAGCTATTATTTTTCTCTTCTTTTTCTAAAATCGTAATTAAAAGTATGGCGGAGTTTTGTACTGCATCCTTTATATCTCTTTTATTCTATTTTCTTCATTGGCTTTTTTTGTTCTCTGATTTGGTCTGCATATTTTCTCCTAGTATTTCTTGCAATTTACTAATTCTCTAATTTTTTGTCTCTAATTTGCTGTTAAATTCAATCATTGAGTTTTTGATTCATCATTGTATATTTTAGTTTTCAATTCATTTGGTTTATTTTATTATCTCTCTTGTGTTTTGATATTTGTACATACTAAGTTTATCTAAAAATGCTTATTTTTCATTATTTGGATCATCTATGTTTGTTTTTATTGCACTTCCCATCAATCAGGTCATGTGTTCTATACTTTGTTACTTTTTTTGATTTCCAATTTTGCATATGGAATGTAAAAAAGGCAATTCAAGAATTTTTTTGGATCTTTTTTAACAGGGAATTTCCTATGTTTCTACTTGAGAGTTGGAATTGGAGAAGTAAAATAATCCCAGATCGTCTTAAATCAATCAAGAAATTAGATAATGCAAGTTGGACTTCAGTTCCTTTGAGGACTGCACCTATGTCTGTGCATTCCTACTCCAAGAGTAAATCCCCTTGCGGTCTCAAATGAAAGCCTTGTTGTTTACAAAGGACTTTTTTCTTTGGTAGACCTTCAATTTTTACATGTTTTCACTTAGGGTAATGCATCTACAGAAATTTTCCCCCAGCTTTTTAGGCTATCATTTATGGCTTTTAGAATTATTTCATAGTTTTAGAGAAAAGAGACTCCAAATGCGAGGTTCTGCTCTCTAGCTTTCTTTCTCTTTTTTGAGACAAGGTCTTGCTATTTTGACCAAGCTGGACTCAAACTCCTGGGGTCCAGGGATTCTCCCACCTCAGTCTTAAAAATAGCTGGGACTACATAACATGCTGATTGGTTTGGCTATGTCCCCACCCAAAACTCATTTTCAATTGTAATCCCCATAATCCCTTTGTGTCCTGGGAGGGACCAGGTGGGAGGTAATTGAATCGTGGGGGCAGTTTCCACATGCTGCTCTGATGATCTTGAGCAAGTTCTCATGAGTTCTGATGGTTTTATAAGTGTCTGGCATTTCCTCGGCTGGCACTCATTCTCTCTCCTCCTGCCCTGTGAAGAGGCATGAATGTAAGTTACCTGAGGACCCCTGGCCATGCAGAACTGTGATTCAATTGAACTTCTTTTCTTTATAAATTACCAGTCTCGAGTATTTCCTTATAGCAACGTGAGAATGGACTAATACATATGCATTTCTCCTTTTATAAAGAAATATACATTGTATCTATATTTAACATTCTAATTTGGTAATAGATAGGGACTGCAGAGAATTACTATTGACTATGGGATATTTTTGGCAATTTCTATGTTAGTTGATATTTTTGATGTATTTTTTATTATTGGAGCTAATTAATTCAGATTCTGGGCTGTTGTAGGCATCATCTGATCTAACAAATATTTTTGTGTCATTTAGAAAAGTGGAAAGCACTAGTAGGTATTTGAATTCAGCTAGAAGGGGCATAGAGAATTATGGCTTATTTTTATATTATTTCTCTATCTTGGAGTCATAATTTAATCCACAGTATCTCTGATCATATCTGATAGCTCTTCATAATTAAAGATATGTTTGTGCATCTTTTACCACTTACCAATAAGAGAGCACTGTGATTATGGACATGCTCTTCTAATTTTTGAAGTGACATGTATTACATTTGGTGTGAATTAATTTAATCCATTTATTACATAAATTGAAAATGACAAACTTTTAGTGAGCTCGTTACATGATAAAGACCTTAGCTGGTTCAGATAAGTATTTATGGGACTCTTTCTCTAAGGCTCTTATGACCCAGAAGATCTGATATTTAACTAAACGTATGCTGAGATGAAGGTGTTCAATGAAGCCAATGGTAAGCCAAGTAATGAATATAGCAGTGGAAGCTCTTAAGTACTGCTCCCTATTGCCAAAAAAAAATTCTTTATTGAAGAAACAGTTACTGAATTGATACTAGAATAAAATTAAAGGATTGAATTAATGGACTACAGATTATTATAATTATATCTGACATTGATTCAGGTCTTGAACAAAAGTCTGTATTTTAACTTAAAACTGCAGAACTGTGATTACCTACCTTTCAAAGAATCAGAATGTCAACTTTTGTTCTTAGTCTCTGTGCCTCTGAGGCTCAGGGCTCATTGGGTTGTGCTTTCTAACAGGAAGGGTAAGGCCCTCCTTGCTGTGAAAATGCTTAGGGAAGAGAACTTGGGACTGCTTCTCCCTTTATTCTGGCTGAAGTATTACTTGCCTTACTTCAGTATTTCATAATATGACACTGATAATTTATTATTCAATTTACTTTAGAATTTTTCTTTGCACATGAAAGGCTTTTGACTTTACTTGGCATTTAGCTACTCTTCCTTGATGAGACACAAGTCTTTTTCCTCTAGGGATTTTCTAAGGGGAATAAAAGTTTTCAGAGAGATTACTTCATGTGAATTTATTCCAAATATTTGAATTAACTAACCTATAATAACCTTACTGTCTCTTTTATTTAAAACAGTGATGATGTAAAAGTCATAGATTGTGTCTACACATAATTATTTTCCTGATGGAATAGCCCAAGAGATATCTGAAGAGTTAAATTTCTGCCCAAGGTAGAGTATGTCTTCAGTTGGTATCAAGTCCTCTAGGTGTGATATTTTCTTGTCATATCCTCCATTTCTTATAAAAATTTGTGGAAGTTATAAGTTTACTAGGATGAGGTGGGGGAGATATAGGGACATTTTTGATTAGAAAATATGTGGACTTAGAGGTATGCTATTTGGATGATACTTGAATGACTGAAAGACTGAAGAGTTTAGATTCTGCCTGTAAGAAAGCTCTATCATTGATTATTTCCATGAAGTTAAATTTCAGCATTGTCCTTGTTAGGTACAAAGTGTAATACCTGGGCAGATGAATGTTATCATAAATACTCAATCACAGTAAAGTACTTATGGTTGCTTTGCCATAATTGAGATAAGTTTCACGTAACAAATTTTAATGTTGGTAAATTTTTGTTTTACTTGTGTTACAAATTAGGGGATTTTCCAGGTTAATTTCCACTAATTAGGTGAATTTTTGCATAGTTATGAAAAGACAGTGTCTTTGTTTTTCTATGAAGAATTTTTCCAGCAGGTAAGAATATTTAACTACTTTTCTACATTGTTTCAGCTTCTTCATATTTCGATCATCTGCTTTGGATGGTGCCAAGCAGCTCTAATGACTAAGATAATGAGAAGCCTGTGTGTAACTGTGGAAACTGTAGTCTCTAGGCACTATTTCTATCCATGGATCAGCCATCCATATCCATGTGTTTTAGGATCACATATACATGCCTGAGGTAGCTTCATTAACATTTAGTGAAAGAAGCTTTGCTTTTCTGGACCACGATGTGAGTATTTGAAACCACTGACAAGAGATATTCATTGAAAATTCATGTGACATGTTGAAATGTGGCTAATGTCTTAAATACCATATGATTTTGTTGAAGGTATTCTAATTGGGAAAGTTAAGCTAGCAAACATGAAAATTTTTTGGAATATACAATTTATAGTTGGTTTTAATATATGGCTTATATTTTCCTTTTCTCTTTGCCAAATAATAAAAACATGTTCCATATTACATGTACAATAAACCAATGGATTTATAATCTTCATTTATGGGATGTTATATTTTATATGATTTATTAATAAATGTGTACAATCACTTTCAGCTATATTTCATTAGAGAGTTTAAAATTGCAGATCATTTCAAGTGTGTTAGAGTGTGAAGGAAGCAATGCCTGTTATGTGGATTTTTACTTATGAATCCAAAAATAATCCTAGCAAACATACTCATAAATATATATGCTCAGGAAAGTACCTAGTCCACTGTCATTTAAATAGATTCATAAAACTGTGACTGTGAAATAAATATTATAGAGGTTTTTTTTTTGTTTTTATGGCATTCTATCTTTTGAAAATGTCATGTTCTTAGGAAACTATGTTAAATCTTTTTTTCTAGAAAAATGTTAACTTAGCAGTTTACATTGAAAACCTAGTAATGCTATCTTTCAGTTTCTAAAGTATTCTATTTTTAATTACTTAAATTCTAGAGGATAGTTTACAGACCCTATTTTTTACAAGTAAACATTTAAATTGCCAAAAGAATTATCCTGTTGAAATCTAGTTCTGATGATGAAATAGGGAAAAGTCACTAAACCTTGCAAAAAGTAAGGTGTGAGAAAATACCAGAATTGGCTATGAACTACAATATTCACTTGTGTTTTCAGCAGGTTTGTTTATATCAGTCTATAACTTCAGCAATGCCAGAAATCTAGAATCAGCTGGAAGTGGTAATATGAATGAGTCATGTGGAATGTTCATCACAGCTGTCTTCTAGAGACAACTCAAATTCTCTCTGCACACGTCCTCTTCCACTGCAAGATTTCTATAAATGGAATCATGCTGTCTACATTTGAGATGTAGTAATTCTGCAGTTTTCCTCAGCAGTGAATAATAAGAAAGTTTAAGTTTGTATCTCTACTCGACCCATTGTTCTCTGTAATTTAAGTTTGTCCATAACTGTCAGATCTAGAGACTTTCAGGAATAATTTTTTTTTTGAATGTTTTCTTTTTTTAACTGGGATCCTGTCTGTGTTTCTCCATCCCAAAAAACTTCCTGAGTCACCCCAGGAACCCACAGGAGGTAACACTTTCAGTATTTCCTCACTAAAAGGGATCTTTCTGAAGCAGATTTTAAAAGAATACTGGCCTCACTTATCTCATTAATCTTCTTATAGTGTGTGAATACTCATTTATTAAATACAGTTTCTCTGTTTTCTGAGTTTAGCCTTCTTTTCATTTTCTGAGGTCTCTCTGATGGTGCTTCCAACTTTTTCACTATTCATCTGGTTGCTTCTCATCAAGATAAATTCCATCACAGGTAAAATTACTACTCATATAACTAAATCATTATTTTCTAAGGCGTACAATTTTATTGTGTGCCCCGCAAAGCTTTTCTTGAATTATAGGTATCTTATCCTTTTTCTCCTGGACTATGTCTATAAATCTTTTCAAGTTGATAAAGATCTGCATGATTTGTTCTGATCCTATGTTCATGGTGAAGTATTCAGGATCATTAATAATAGCTATCATTTATTGAGCCCTTCTCAGGTACCAGCCATTATTCTAGGCACTTTACTTTGTTTTAATAAAACAACAAATCTACGAGGTAAGGACAGGGATCCCCATTTTTAAATTGATGAAAGTAAGGGACAGAGAGCTTTAGTAAATGGCCAAGAATTGTAAATGGCCAAAAATCTCATAAAAATAGTGAAGCTGAAGTTGTAGCTGAAGCAGTGTGGCTCCAGTGTCCACATCATCCACCACGTGCTACAGTTTCTCTCTAAGGATGTCTTGGATCTTACCTAGATAGGTACATACTTGGTGAGAAACTTCCAGTCACTATTTACTCACTGTAGTCATGAAACCCCATGTCCCACTGACTACCATTTTTCATGTAAGAGTCATGAGATTTGCAATTTTTATTTAATTATAATTTTTTAAAAAATTAAAAAAATTGTCAGCAGAATACCGTAAAGGGGAGGTACACTAATATTTCTGTAGATAGTTGACTAGAAAGGATTCTGAATTTCTCAAATTTAATCTCATTGTTTTCCAGTGAGCAAACTGAGACAGACTTGTAAATGTATTCAGAAAATTACTCAAATCCATGTCTTCTTACACTGAACTTGGAATGTGTCCTAGAGTATGCTTCATTTTGGAATCTGCTAACTAAGATTCTATTTTTGAGTACTCTCTGTATCCAAATAGTGCTGTGAATAAAACCATGTCCCACTGTTCTGTACCTCTTTCTACAGTGTCTATTTTCTCCTCTCTCACTACCTTGCTCAACCCAAGAATTCAGAAAAAATACTCGTGGCATATTTGGTTTTTGGTGACAGTCATGAGTTAGTTCACTTGAGTTCAAATTAATTGCTGAAAATTAGAATATTGTACGTAAGTGTTGTAAAAATTGTGGTATAGGCAAGGATAAATCCCAGCTCCTTATAAGATAGACAGAGAGTCAGACCAAGTAATTCCTATAGGGAACAATGTAATTAATAATATCACAGCAATTTTTACAGTTCAGAGTCCTGTCTAATGAAAGACGAGTGAAGACTGAACATCCTTCAAGGCATGAAGGAATGAAGTCTAACAGTAGAAGGCAGTAGAAGTACAGATTGAGATATTTCAGAAGATGTTATTCTTGGTGCTACACAGATCATATCATAAAGATACCACAAATACAAACACAAAGGACTAAATCTATGTCAAATTATTTATTTAGAGTTTATTGTCACTACCATAAGGTAAGTTTCCTGAGACCAAGAACCTGTTGCTTATTCATCATAGCTGACTTCTGTGCCAAGAAATATGTTTTAAATAAGAAGTTATAGGGAGGAGCCAAGATGGCCGAATAGGAACAGCTCTGGTCTACAGCTCCCAGCGTGAGCGACACAGAAGATGGGTGATTTCTGCATTTCCATCTGAGGTACCGGGTTCATCTCACTAGTGAGTGCCAGACAGTGGGCGCAGGTCAGTGGGTGCGCGCACCGTGCGGGAGCCGAAGCAGGGCGAGGCATTGCCTCACTTGGGAAGCACAAGGGGTCAGGGAGTTCCCTTTCTGAGTCAAAGAAAGGGGTGATGGACGGCACCTGGAAAATCGGGTCACTCCCACACGAATACAGCCCTTTTCTGATGGGCCTAAAAACGGCGCACTACGAGATTACATCCCGCACCAGGCTCGGAGGGTCCTACGCCCAGGGAGTATCACTGATTGCTAGCACAGCAGTCTGAGATCAAACTGCAAGGCGGCAGCGAGGCTGGGGGAGGGGCGCCCGCCATTGCCCAGGCTTGCTTAGGTAAACAAAGCAGCCTGGAAGCTTGAACTGGGTGGAGTCCACCACAGCTCAAGGAGGCCTGCCTGCCTCTGTAGGCTCCACCTCTGGGGGCAGAGCACAGACATACAAAAAGACAGCAGTAACCTCTGCAGACTTAAATGTCCCTGTCTGACAGCTTTGAAGAGAGCAGTGGTTCTCCCAGAACACAGCTGGAGATCTGAGAATGGGCAGACTGCCTCCTCAAGTGGGTCCCTGACCCCTGACCCCCGAGCAGCCTAAATGGGAGGCAACCCCCAGCAGGGGCACACTGACACCTCACACGGCAGGGTACTCCAACAGACCTGCAGCTGAGGGTCCTGTCTGTTAGAAGGAAAACTAACAAACAGAAAGCACATCCACACCAAAAACCCATCTGTACATCACCATCATCAAAGACCAAAAGTAGATAAAACCACAAAGATGGGGAAAAAACAGAACAGAAAAACTGGAAACTCTAAAAAGCAGAGCGCCTCTCCTCCTCCAAAGGAACACAGCTCCTCACCAGCAATGGAACAAAGCTGGATGGAGAATGACCTTGACGAGCTGAGAGAAGAAGGCGTCAGATGATCAAATTACTCTGAGCTACGGGAGGACATTCAAACCAAAGGCAAAGAAGTTGAAAACTTTGAAAAAAAATTAGAAGAATGTATAACTAGAATAACAAATACAGAGAAGTGCTTAAAGGAGCTGATGGAGCTGAAAACCAAGGCTCAAGAACTACGTGAGGAATGCAGAAGCCTCAGGAGCTGATGCGATCAACTGGAAGAAAGGGTATCAGCAATGGAAGATGAAATGAATGAAATGAAGCGAGAAGGGAAGTTTAAAGAAAAAAGAATAAAAAGAAATGAGCAAAGCCTCCAAGAAATATGGGACTATGTGAAAAGACCAAATCTATGTCTGATTGGTGTACCTGAAAGTGATGGGGAGACTGGAACCAAGTTGGAAAACACTCTGCAGGATATTTTCCAGGAGAATTTCCCCAATCTAGCAAGGCAGGCCAACGTTCAGATTCAGGAAATACAAAGAACGCAACAAAGATACTCCTCAAGAAGAGCAACTCCAAGACACATAATTGTCAGATTCACCAAAGTTGAAATGAAGGAAAAAATGTTAAGGGCAGCCAGAGAGAAAGGTCGGGTTACCCTCAAAGGGAAGCCTATCAGACTAACAGCGGATCTCTTGGCAGAAACCCTACAAGCCAGAAGAGAGTGGGGGCCAATATTCAACATTCTTAAAGAAAAGAATTTTCAACCCAGAATTTCATATCCAGCCAAACTAAGCTTCATAAGTGAAGGAGAAATAAAATACTTTACAGACAAGCAAATGCTCAGAGATTTTGTCACCACCAGGCCTGCCTTACAAGAGCTCCTGAAGGAAGCACTAAACATGGAAAGGAACAACTGGTACCAGCCACTGCAAAATCATGCCAAAATGTAAAGACCATTGAGACTAGGAAGAAACTGCATCAACTAACGAGCAAAATCACCAGCTAACATTATAATGACAGGATCAAATTCACACATAACAATATTAACTTTAAATGTAAATGGACTAAATGCTCCAATTAAAAGACACAGACTGGCAAATTGGATAAAGAGTCAAGACCCATCAGTGTGCTGTATTCAGGAAACCCATCTCACGTGCAGAGACACACATAGGCTCAAAATAAAAGGATGGAGGAAGATCTACCAAGCCAATGGAAAACAAAAAAAGGCAGGGGTTGCAATCCTAGTCTCTGATAAAACAGACTTTAAACCAACAAAGATCAAAAGAGACAAAGAAGGCCATTACATAATGGTAAAGGGATCAATTCCTCAAGAAGAGCTAACTATCCTAAATATATATGCACCCAATACAGGAGCAGCAAGATTCATAAAGCAAGTCCTGAGTGACATACAAAGAGACTTAGACTCCCACACATTAATAATGGGAGACTTTAACACCCCACTGTCAACATTAGACAGATCAATGAGACAGAAAGTCAACAAGCATACCCAGGAATTGAATTCAGCTCTGCACCAAGCGTACCTAATAGACATCTACAGAACTCTCCACCCCAAATCAACAGAATATACATTTTTTTCAGCACCACACCACACCTATTCCAAAATTGACCACATACTGGGAAGTAAAGCTCTCCTCAGCAAATGTAAAATAACAGAAGTTAAAACAAAGTGTCTCTCAGACCACAGTGCAATCAAACTAGAACTCAGGATTAACAATCTCACTCAAAATCACTCAACTACATGGAAACTGAACAACCTGCACCTGAATGACTACTGGGTACATAACGAAATGAAGGTAGAAATAAAGATGTTCTTTGAAACCAATGAGAATGAAGGCACAACATACCAGAATCTCTGGGACACATTCAAAGCAGTGTGTAGAGGGAAGTTTATAGCACTAAATGCCCACAAGAGAAAGCAGGAAAGATCCAAAATTGACACCCTAACATCACAATTAAAAGAACTAGAAAAGCAAGAGCAAACACATTCAAAAGCTAGCAGAAGGCAAGAAATAACTAACATCAGAGCAGAACTGAAGGAAATAGAGACACAAAAAACCTTCAAAAAATTAATGAATCCAGGAGTTGGTTTTTTGAAAGGATCAACAAAATTGATAGACCGCTAGCAAGACTAATAAAGAAAAAAAGAGAAAAGAATCAAATAGATCCAATAAAAAATGATAAAGGGGATATCATCACCAATCCCACAGAAACACAAACTACCATCAGAGAATACTACAAACACCTCTACACAAATAAACTAGAAAATCTAGAAGAAATGGATAAATTCCTCAACACATACACTCTCCCAAGACTAAACCAGGAAGAAGTTGAAACTCTGAAGAGACCAATAACAGGAGCTGAAATTGAGGCAATAATCAATAACTTACCAACCAAAAACAGTCCAGGACCAGATGGATTCACAGCCGAATTCTACCAGAGGTACAAGGAGGAAATGGTACCATTCCTTCTGAAATTATTCCAATCAATAGAAAAAGAGGGAATCCTCCCTATCTCATTTTATGAGGCCAGCATCATTCTGATACCAAAGCCTGGCAGAGACACAACCAAAAAAGAGAATTTTAGACCAATATCCTTGATGAACACTGATGCAAAAATCCTCAATAAAATACTGGCAAACCAAATCCAGCAGCACATCAAAAAGCTTATCCACTGCGATCAAGTGGGCTTCATCCCTGGGATGCAAGGCTGGTTCAATATACACAAATCAATAAATGTAATCCAGCATATAAACAGAGCAAAAGACAAAAACCACATGATTATCTCAATAGATGCAGAAAAGGCCTTTGACAAAATTCAACAACCCTTCATGCTAAAAACTCTCAATAAATTAGGTATTGATGGGACGTATTTCAAAATAATAAGAGCTATCTATAACAAACCCACAGCCAATATCATACTGAATGGGCAAAACCTGGAAGCATTCCCTTTGAAAACTGGCACAAGACAGGGATGCCCTCTCTCACCACTCCTATTCAACATAGTGTTGGAAGTTCTGGCCAGGGCAATCAGGCAGGAGAAGGAAATAAAGGGTATTCAATTAGGAAAAGAGGAAGTCAAATTGTCCCTGTTTGCAGATGACATGATTGTATATCTAGAGAACCCCATTGTCTCAGCCCAAAATCTCCTTAAGTTGATAAGCAACTTCAGCAAAGTCTCAGGATACAAAATCAATGTACAAAAATCACAAGCATTCTTATACACCAACAACAGATAAACAGACAGCCAAATCATGAGTGAACTCCAATTCACAATTTCTTCAAAGAGAATAAAATACCTAGGAATCCAACTTACAAGGGATGTGAAGGACCTCTTCAAGGAGAACTACAAACCACTGCTCAAGGAAATAAAAGAGGATACAAAGAAATGGAAGAACATTCCATGCTCATGGGTAGGAAGAATCAATATCGTGAAAATGGCCATACTGCCCAAGGTAATTTACAGATTGAATGCCATCCCCATCAAGCTACCAATGACTTTCTTCACAGAATTGGAAAAAACTACTTTAAAGTTCATATGCAACCAAAAAAGAGCCTGCATCGCCAAGTCAATCCTAAGCCAAAGAACGAAGCTGGAGGCATCACACTACCTGACTTCAAACTATAATACAAGGCTACAGTAACCAAAACAGCATGGTACTGGTACCAAAACAGACATATAGATCAATGGAACAGAACAGAGCCCTCAGAAATAACGCTGCATACCTACAACTATCTGATCTTTGACAAACCTGACAAAAACAAGCAATGGGAAAGGATTCCCTATTTAATAAAGGGTGCTGGGAAAACTGGCTAGCCATATGTAGAAAGCTGAAACTTGATTCCTTCCTTACACCTTATACAAAAATCAATTCAAGATGGATTAAAGACTTAAACGTTAGACCTAAAACCATAAAAACACTAGAAGAAAACCTAAGCATTACCATTCAGGACAGGCATGGGCAAGGATTTCATGTCTAAAACACCAAAAGCAATGGCAACAAAAGACAAAATTGACAGATGGTATCTAATTAAACTAAAGAGATTCTGCACAGCAAAAGAAACTACCATCAGAGTGAACAGGCAACCTACAACATGGGAGAAAATTTTCACAACCTACTCATCTGACAAAGGGCTAATATCCAGAATCTACAATGAACTCAAACAACTTTACAAGAAAAAAACAAACAACCCCATCAAAAAGTGGGCGAAGGACATGAACAGACACTTCTAAAAAGAAGACATTTATGCAGCCAAAAAAAAACATGAAAAAATGCTCATCATCACTGGCCATCAGAGAAATGCAAATCAAAACCACGATGAGATACCATCTCACACCAGTTAGAATGGCAATCATTAAAAAGTCAGGAAACAACAGGTGCTAGAGAGGATGTGGAGAAATAGGAACACTTTTACACTGTTGGTGGGACTGTAAACTAGTTCAACCCTTGTGGAAGTCAGTGTGGCAATTCCTCAGGGATCTAGAACTGGAAATACCATTTGACCCAGCCATCCCGTTACTGGGTATATACCCAAAGGATTATAAATCATGCTGCTATAAAGACACATGCACATGTATGTTTATTGCGGAATTATTCACAATAGCAAAGACTTGGAACCAACCCAAATGTCCAACAATGATAGACTGGATTAAGAAAATGTGGCACCTATACACCGCAGAATACTATGCAGCC
This sequence comes from Homo sapiens, assembly GCF_000001405.40. Taxonomy (NCBI): domain Eukaryota; kingdom Metazoa; phylum Chordata; class Mammalia; order Primates; family Hominidae; genus Homo; species Homo sapiens. The sequence goes on from NC_000011.10 coordinate 55,465,599, forward strand.
AAAAAAACTAATGAGTTCATGTCCTTTGTAGGGACATGGATAAATTGGAAATCATCATTCTCAGTAAACTATCGCAAGAACAAAACACCAAACACCACATATTCTCACTCATAGGTGGGAATTGAACAATGAGATCACATGGACACAGGAAGGGGAATATCACACTCTGGGGACTGTTGTGGGGTGGGGGTAGGGGGGAGGGATAGCATTGGGATATATACCTAATGCTAGATGACGAGTTAGTGGGTGCAGTGCACCAGCATGGCACATGTATACATATGTAACTAACCTGCACAATGTGCACATGTACTCTAAAATTTAAAGTATAATAAAAAAAAATGCATACAAGAGGAAGACCAAGCAAAGATGTAATGGTGAGTAAAGAAACAGTAAGATGTATGATAAAGTACCAATAAGTATGCATTGTAATTTCTTAAATTCCAGTAACAATTTAGAATTAAAATTACAAGTGCTATCAACAGGAGAAGTGTCAAAAAAAAGAAGAAATTAAAGTGTTCTAAGATTCTGGTCTTGTTCTTGGGAGAATATAACTCATAGCATGCTGAGAATACAAAGTAAGAAACATTCTTGACTCAATAAATGGAAGCTGCAAGAACTGCACAGCATAGTGACCACAGTTAATAGTAATGTGTTGTATATTTCAAAATTGCTCAGAAGGTAGATTTTAAATGTTCTCACAAGAAAGAACTGATAAGTATGTGAGGTGATGGATATGTTAGTCTGATTTAATCATTCTACAATGCATACATGTATCATAACATTACATTGTGCCTCACAAATATATACAATTATTTGTCAAATAAAAATAAAATAACATTAAGAAAAAAAAAAGAAGTTATAAAATGTATGGATGGCTGTTGGGACTTTAACACTTCTTCTGTAGGGAATATTCACTAAAACTTAGAGGTAGAAGCCTTTACCTGTGGCTAAAACTAAAATCTTTGAGGAGAAATAGATTTGTCAAGGGAAGATGGGCTTTTTGGGTGAGGAACTCAGTAGAGACTTACTAAATATTTATCGTGTGTAAATCACTATTCAGGATACAACAGTGAAGATGTGCAATGGATGTAATCATATTCCTGTTCACGATCTCATTACAGGTCCTGTTCTCCTGAGCTCTCACCTCTGATACAAGCCTGATAGAAGAGTAAATGAGACCTAATAACAGTATTACAGAATTTGTCCTCCTGGGCTTTTCACAGGATCCTGATATGCAAAACACATTATTTGTCATGTTTTTACTCACATACATTGTGACAGTGGTGGGGAACCTACTCGTTGCGGTGACTATTATTGTCAGCCCTTCCTTGAGCTCCCCAATGTAATTCTTCCTTGCTTGCCTGTCATTAATAGATGCTGTATTATCCACCACCATTTCTCCCATATTGATTGTAGACCTACTCTGTGACAAAAAGACTATTTCCTTCCCAGCTTGCATGGGCCAGCTATTTACAGACCACTTGTTTGGTGGAACTGAGATCTTCCTTCTGGTGGTGATGGCCTATGATCGCTACGTGGCCATCTGTAAGCCACTGCACTATTTAACCATCATGAATCGACAGGTTTCCATCCTTCTGTTGGTGGTGGCCATGACTGGAGGTTTCCTTCATTCTGTGTTTCAAATTGCTGTTCTGTACAGTCTCCCTTTCTGTGGCCCCAATGTCATTGACCACTTTTTCTGTGACATGTACCCATTATTGGAACTGGCGTGCACTGACACCTACTCTATAGGCCTCACTGTAGTTTTCAGTGGTGGAGCAATGTGTATGGTCATCTTCGCCCTTCTACTAATCTCCTATGGAGTCAGCCTAAACTCCCTTAAAACTTATAGTCAGGAAGGGAGGCGTAAAGCCCTGTCTACCTGCAGCTCGCACATCACCGTGGTTGTCCTCTTTTTTGTTCCCTGTATTTTCATGTATGTTAGACCTGTCTCAAACTTCCCTATTGATAAATTCGTTACTGTGTTTTATACATTTATCACACCCATGCTGAATCCTTTTTTATACACGTTGAGAAATTCAGAGATGATAAATGCTATAAAACACCTGTTGTGTAAGAAGCTAACTATAGTTAGAATAAGAGTGTCCCTCCTCATGTAGATAAGGATGTATGTAGACAAGCTCTTCCCAGTGAAATTTTCAGACTTCTAAGGGTAATTCAAGGATCCCACAATGGAAGACAGGATTTAGGTGCTCCGAGCTCAACTGAGAAATCATCCCATTATGACATCTGTTTGAATTTCAAGATCTCAACCTCTATATCCAGACTGAGAGTGGATGGGGGGCTTTGGCTCAGGTCCTATTGTGCATGTTTTAAATTATGGTTTTTCTCTATTACACATTTATTGAGACACAGTATTTCTCCCAAATGCCCAGCAGAGAATGGGAAAAGGGAGGAATAGGTCATTAAAATATATGCTCCTGTTCAAAAGCGAAGACTATGGTGGTTTTTCAGTGTAATTTATTTAAAGACTTTGTGCAATATAGAAGCACCATATTCACAAATATCTTTGAAACTCGCCTTTCTCAGACTTGAGCTGAAACTCTATGTGCAGTTAGATAATACTCTTAAGAATATTATAATTATGTTTGTGTAGCTTAAAGTACTTATGAGACACACCAGAAATTTTTCATAGTGTCTTAAACTCCACAACTTTGAAATGATTTTTATTTGGATGGCCTTTCTTACTTTTAGAGTACTTAGCTCTTTGCAGAGACTGGAAAGGGAAGCCATTTTTATCTTTGAAATCAGCAAGTTCTGGCTCTTTTAGGTTTCTTGTGAATTCTGTCTGACAATGTAACCGTTAATCTCTACTATTTTTTTAAAAAAAATATATGACATAGTGTAAGATACAATGCTATAAGAAACAGCTGCAACTTACAATATTTTATTTGGAAATTTTAGCTAAATCCACCTATTCACTTAAGCACATTTTTTATTCTCTACCTTACTAGAAGTGACAGAATTACTAAATTTTTTCAGCACTAGTGACTCACTTTTTTCACAGTCTCCAGAACAGTTATGTCTGCCTTTTCAGCCTTTACTTACAATATCCTGGAGGCCCCTATTTTGGGGTACTAAAGCCAATTCCATACACTTTGAATTGTTTTTGTGGAAGCACCACACCTTGAGTTGCCTCTTTTTATTCTGGTGATTTCTTCATGTATGGTGCAGGGCTCCACAGTTTTGTGATTTCAAACAACCATCATTTTATTTTATCCAAAATTTTGTGAGTCAGGAATTCAGGCCCTTGTTGGCTGGGTATTTCTTATCTTTTGTGTGGCAAGGACTGAAGTCACTGTTGTATTCAGCTGATAACTGAGTTTTATGTGAGATGTAGGATGACTTAATTCACATTTATAGCCTATTGGGAGGGATGACAGTAAGTGATGCACTGGATCCCTCTTCCTATCCTTTTAGATGAAGGACCACAAGATCACTCCAGAGAATAGTAAAGCTTTTTACATGGCACTCAGAGATCCCAGTGGTAGAAAGTAGGTGAGTCCAGCCAGTTAAAAGAACTGGCAAAATGTCACTTGCATCATATTCTATTCATCAGTAGTGGTCACATAGCACCCCAGATTTGAGGTTTTACAGAAATAGAACATAAACCTTCATGGGGAATTGGCAAAGTCGCTTTGCAGAGCAGCATGCAGAATGATTGTCCACATCTCAAAAAGAGCATATTGGAGTTTTATTCATTTTAAGTTGGATCCATAAATCATCTTGTACTAACAACATCTTCACAATATTGGCTTTTCTAATTCCTGAATAGAGTATGTCTGTTAGGAATTTTAAATGTTTATTTTTGAAGTTTTGTAGTTTTTGTTAGTGAAGGGATCTTCCGCATCTATTTCTTTTTGTATTTTTGGATTTCATCACAGGTTTTTAATTGTTAAAAATTCCAATAGTCATTGTTGCTGGTACATATAAAAAAACTGAATTTTTTATTTGACAGTTGGGTCCTGTAAACTTGCTAAGTTTCTTATTCTAACCATAGTTATGTCTGTAGATTCTTTAGGGTTTTCTGAAACACTATCATGTTACCTACAAGAAAGGGTAGCTCATTAATTCGAAAGATATAGGAGTGTTTTAGTTTTTCTTTGTACATTTCAGGAAGGTTGTCCTTTCCCTGCATTTTGCCTAATGCATCTTAGCTGTCAACTTTACTGAAATAATGTATTTCACAATCATACTTTTCTAACCTTTTAAAGTCTAAAGGCTCTGTGGAATGATTATTTGTTTTATAATTTATGATACTGGCAATTTGAATTTATCTTTGTTTTCTCTTGAACATTCTTGTTAACAGTTTATCAGTTTCATTATAAAAGGACCAATTTTGGGCCATTTTAATTTTCTCTATTTTATGTTTTACATTTTATTGGTTTCTGATCTGAAATTTATGTCCTTTTGTTTACCTACCTTGGCTTTTTTTTACTCTTCTTATTCTAGCTTCTTAAGGTGAAGGCTCAGATGACTGCTTTTAAATATTTATTTTATATGTAAGCATTTATCACTATACATGTTTCTTTAAGTACTGTTTTGATCACACTTCACACTTTTTGGTATGTTTTTGTTATTGTTGAGTTCTAAATATTGGCTTATTTCCATTGTACCTTTTTCCTGGATCCGTCGGTTGACTAAGTATTTACTGACATGTTTCCTAATATTTGAAGCATATTCTAGATATATTTATGAGTTATTAATTTATTCATAGCAAATTATTTCAAAACTTAGTGATTCAAACAATATGTACTCATTCTCAATTTCTGTAGGTCAGGAAACTAAGGATGGTTTAGTAGGTTTACATGCTTCAAAGTCTCTCACAAAGCTGTAATCAAGGTGCCTTTGGGGCTACCAGCTCATATGAAAGCTTGGCTGAGGAAGGATCCACTTGCACACTGGGTGTTGGTATTAGTAGTTATTTGAATTCAGCTGGAAGAAACAGAGAATAAGGTCCTATTTTTATATTAGTTTTTCATCTTGGAGTCATAATTTAAGCCACAGAAACTTTGATTATATCTGATAGTTCTTCAGAATTAAAGATATGTTTGTGCATCTTTTAGCACTTACCAGTAAAACAGCACAGTGCTTTTAGGCATATTCTTCAAATTTTAGCAGTCGTACATATTACATTTAGGGTAGATGAATTTAATCCATTTATTAGGTAAGTTGAAAATGACCAACTTTTAATGGAGCCCGTTACATGATAGAGACCTTAGCTCATTCAGATAGGTATTTATGGGTCTCTTTATCTAAGGCTCTTATGACATAAAGATCCAATATTTAACTAAATGTATAATGAGAAGAAAGTGTTCCTTGGAGCCAATGGTAAGCCAAGTCACAAAAATAACAACGGAAGCCCTTAAACACTGCTCCCATGTTGGAAAATCAAAATTTCTTTATTGTAGAAAGTTATTGAATTGATACTGAATACAATTTAAAAAATGAGTTAATGGATGTATTAGTCCGTTTTCACACTGCTGATAAAGACATACCCAAGACTAGGTAGAAAAAGAGGTTTAATTGGACTTTCAGTTCCACATGGCTGGGGAGGCCTCAGAATAATGGTGGGAGGTTAACTGCACTTCTTACACAGTGGTGGCAAGAGAAAAATGAGGAAGATACAATTCTGGTTGAAATTTGGGTGGGGACACAGCCAAACCCTATCAATGGACTACAGATCATTATGGTTATATCTTACCTAAATACAGTTCTTGATAATAAGTGTGTACTCTAACCTACAACTTCAGCACTATGATTACCTATTTTTCCAAGAATCAGAATATCAACTTCCATTCTTAGGATCTCTGCCTCTGAGCCTCAGGGCTTCTTGGGGACAGACTTTCTAACAGGAAGGGTAAGGCCTTCCTTACCGGGAATATTTTTAGAGAAGAGAAACTGGTGCTGGTTTTCCTTTCATTCGGGCTGAAATATTACTTGTCTTACCTAAACATTTTGTAACATGAAACTCATGTTTTATTATTCAATTTGGTTTAGAATTTTCTTTTTATATTACAGGCTTTTCACATTATTTGGTATTTAGCTACCTTTCCTTAGCAAGAGTCAAGTCTTTTTCCTCTAGGGATTTTCTAAGAAATAAGTTTACAGAGAGGTTACTTCATTTGAATTTGTTCCAAATATTCTAATTAACTAATCTATAATGACCTTACTCTCTCTTGCTAAAAATTGTGATGTGAAACTTATAGACTGTCTACAGACATAAATAGAAGAATTATTTTCCTGATAGAACAACCCAGGAGATTCAAAAAAGTTATATTTCTGCCCAAGGTAGAGTATGTCTTCAGTTGGTCTCTAGTCCTTTAGGTGTAATGTTTTCTTGTCTTATCCTCCATTGTTTGAAAAAAATGTGTGAAAGGTCTCAATTTCCTGGGATGAGATTGAGGAGATATAGAGACGTGCTTTTACTAAGGAAAGAAGTGGGCTTAGGGATATGCTAGTTGAATGACTGAAAGACTGAAAAGTTTGGCTTCTGCCTGTGAGAAAGCTCTGAGCTCTGTCATTGTTTTTTCCATGGAGTTAAATCTCAGCATTGTCCTCGTTAGGCACGAAGCTTAATAACTGGACACATGAATGTTATTGTGCAGCTTAATTTCCACTAATTAGGTCAACTTTACCATGTCATGCAGAGATACTCTCTCTGTTTTTCTATGAAGAAATTTTCCAGCAGTTGAGAATGTTTGATTACATTTGCACAGTAAATCTTCACAGTATGTGAAAACATCTTTATATTTTGGTCTCTGTTTTGGTGCTAAACTTCTCTAAAAAGAAGTGCTATACTTCTCTAAAGACAGAGATAATGAGAAGCCTGTGTGGAACTATGGAAACTGTAGCTCCTAGGAATGAATTTTATATCCATGGATTAGCCACGTATATTCCTGTGTTTTATGAGAACACATAGATGCAGGGGGTGTCTACAATAATCCTTGTTGAAAGAAGCATTGCTTTTCTGGACCAAGATGTGAGTGTAAGAAATCGTTCACAAGAGATATTTATTGAAATTTCCTGTGATATGTTGAAACATAGCTAGTGTCTTAAAAACCACTGGTTTTATTAGATAAATTCTAATTGGGAAAATTAAGCTAGCAAACATGAAAATTTATCAGAATATGCAATGTATATTTGGTCTTAATATACAGTCTAATTAATTGGTTATCTTTTTCCATTTGCTAAATTAGAAGAGAAACATGTCCCATATTACATGTATAATAAATAAACCAGTAGTTGTATAATCTTAGTTTATGAGATGTTATATTTTACAGGATATACTGATAAAGGTATACAATTATTTTATACATATTTGGTTAGAGAATTTAAAATTCCAGATCATGTCAAGTGTGTTAGAGTGCAAAGGAACAAATGCCTTTTATGTTCTAGAAGCATAATATGAATTTTTACTTATGAATCTAAAAATTATACCAATAAACATACTAGTAGATATATATGCCCAGGAAGGTACCTAGTTTACTGTCATTTAAATAGATTTATAAAATTGTGACTGTGAAATATAATATTATAGAATTTTTTGTTATTATGGAATTTTATCTTTTGAAAATGGCATGGTCTCAGGAAAGTATATTAATTTTTTCCTAGAAAAATGGCTATTTAGAAGTCTACATTGAAAGCCTAGTAATGCTATCTTTCAGCATTTAACATATTATATTTTAAAGTATGTAAAATATGAGGGATAGTTTACATACCCAATTTTTTTACAAGTACACAATTAAATTGCCAAATAGAATTATCCTGTTGAATTCTAATTTTGATAATGAAAGGGGAAAAAGACACTAAACCTTGCAGCAAGTAAGGTGTGAAAAAATAATAGACTTGGCTACAGACTACATTATTCCCCTGTGTTCTTCAGTAGGTGTGTCTCTATCAGTCTATAGCTTCAATATGACAGAACTCTGGAATCAGCTGGAAGTGGTAATGTGAAGGAGACATGTGGAATGTTCAGCAAAGTTGGTGTTTAGAGGAAACTCAAACTCTCTGCACACATCCTCCTCTACTCCCAGATGTGTATAAATGGAATCATCCTATCTACATTTGAGGTGTAGTAATGCTACAGTTTTCCTACCAGTGAATTATCAGAAAGTTTGGGTTTGTATCTCTACTTGTCCCATTGTTCTCTGTAATTTAAGTTTGCTCTTTACCATCAGATCTAGAGACTTTGAGAAATCAATGTGTTTTTTTCTTCCGAGTTTTCTTTTTTCTTTTCTTTCTTTCCTTTTTTTTGTTGTTTTTTTTTTGTTTGTTTGTTTTGTTTGTTTTGTTTTGTTTATTAGGATTTGGTCTGTGTTTGTTTGGCTACCCCAAGAAGCCTCCCGAGTCACCCCAGGACCCACAGGAGGTTGTGCTTCCAGTATTTCCTCACTAAAATATCTTTATGAAGAAGATTTTGAGGAAATTACTTGCCTTAATTATCACATTAAACTTAATATTTTTATTACCTGTGGATATTAGCTTATTTATTATAATTACTTTGTTTTCTGATTTGACTTCTTTTTCTTTATTTTCTACCATATAGTTCTCTCTCTCTGATGAGGGGTCCAATTTTTCCATTATAATTCTGCCTGATCTTGTCAAGATACATTCCATCTCAGATAAAATCACTACTCATACATAATTAAATAGATAAATCCTAAGACATACAATTATATTGTGTTCCCCAAAAGCCTTTCCTGAAATATAGCTGTCTTCTTGCTTTTCCCCTGGACTATGTCTATAAATCTTTTCAAATTGACTGATATCCAGATGATGAGTTCTGATCCAATGTTCACAGTGAATCATTCAGGAACATGAGTAAGAGCTAACATTTACTGAGCCTTTACGAGGTGCCAGTCAGTGTTCTAGGCACTTTACTTTTCTGTAATAAAACAACCCTAAGATGTCTTAAATCAAAGTGAGGCATAGAGAGGTTTGGTAAGTGGCCCAAAGTCACATAGTAAGTGGTGAAGCTGGGATCTTAGCTGAGGCAGAGTGGCTCCAATGTCCACATTATTCACCACATGCTACGCTTTCTAAGAATGCCTTGAATCTTAAATAGGCACAGATTGAGTGAGAAATTTGTAGTCATTATTTACTCACTGTAACCATGAAACCTCTAGGACTGACTACCATTATTCATGTAATAGTCATCAGCTTGGAAATTGCTATTTAATTATAAATATATAAAAAATAAAAAAAAATCAGCAGAATAGAATAAGGGAGAGGTGTACTAATAGTTTCACAGGTGGTTGATTGGAAAGGATTCTCAGTTTATCTAATTTAATCACACTGTTTTCCAGTAAGAAAATTGAGACACATTTTTTAAATGCATTCAGAAAATGACTGAAATTCATGCCACCTTACAGTGAACTTGGAACTTCTCTTTGAGTATGCTTTTTTTGGAATCTAGACACTAAGTTTCTATTTTTGAGTACTCTTGGTATCTAGTCTATCTAGTTCACCCCAAGAATTCAGAAAAAAATACTCACTACTAATGTGGCAGTTGATGATAATCATGAGTTAGTTCACTGAAGTTCAAAATTAGTTACTGAAAATCAGGATATTGTTGTAAATGTGACAAAAAATTATGAAATAGGCAAGGATATGATCTAGAGACTTACAGCTCCTTAAAAGGTGAAAAGATTGTCAGACGAAGTAATTGCTACAGGGAATAATGTGATAAATAATATGTTACTATTTATAAAGGTTAATGTCCAGTCTCTTGACATTTAATGAGATATTCATAAAGACTGAACATCCTTTGAGACATGAAGGACCAAATGTCTAATAGTGGAATTCCATAGTACTGAGTGAGATATTTCAGAGGATGTTATTTTTGATGTTACACCGATCATAAAGTAAAGATACCACAACAACTACAAACTCAAAGTACTGAATCTATGCCAATTTTCTTATTTAGAGTTTATTACCACCACCATAAAGTAGGTTTCTTGAGACCAAGAATCTGCTGCCTATTCACCATAGCTATCTGTCATGCCAAGAAACAGGTTTTAAATAGGGAGTTATGAAAGTATGAATGGCTGTTGGGCATTTGACTCTTCTTCTGTATAGAATATTCACTAAAACTTAGAGACAGAAGCTGTTACCTGTAAGCTCAACCTATAATCTTTGAGGAGATGAGCAACTCAGTAGAGACTTACTAAATGTTTATTGTGCATAAACCACTGTTGAAGACATACAGATAAAGATGTGCTCTGTGACATCATGGATGTATTCATGCTCCTGTTTACTGTTTCATTACAGGTCCTGCTCTTCTGAGCTCTCAACTCTGATACAAGCCTTAGAGAAGAGTAAATGGGATCTAGTAACAATGTTACAGAATTTGTCCTCCTGGCCCTCACTCAGGCTCCTGATGTGCAAAAAGTATTATTTGTAATGTTTTTATTCACATACATTGTGACTATGGTGGGCAACCTGCTCACTGTGGTGACCATTTTTGCCCTCCCTCTTTGGGCTCCCTAGTGTAACTCTTCCTTGCCTGCCTGTCATTGATGGATGCCGTATATTCCACTTCATTTTCTCCTAAACTGATGATAGACTTACTCTGCGATAAAAAAGACTGTTTCCTTCCCGGCTTGCATGGGCCAGCTATTTGCGGACCACCTATTTGGTGGTGTTGAGGTCTTTCTTTTCGTGGGGATGGCCTATGATCACTATGTGGCCATCTCTAAGCCACTGCACTATTTGATCATCGTGAATCGACTGGTTTGCATCCTTCTGTTGGTGGTGGCCGTGACTGGAGGATTTTGAATTCTATGTTTCTTTTTTTTTAATTTATTTATTTTTTTATTATTATTATACTTTAAGTTTTAGGGTACATGTGCACAATGTGCAGGTTAGTTACATATGTATACATGTGCCATGCTGGTGTGCTGCACCCATTAACTCATCATTTAGCATTAGGTATATCTCCTAAAGCTATTGCTCCCCCCTCCCACCACCCCGTAACAGTCCCCAGAGTGTGATGTTCCCCTTCCTGTGTCCATGTGTTCTCATTGTTCAATTCCCACCTATGAGTGAGAACATGCGGTATTTGGTTTTTTGTTCTTGTGTTTACTGAGAATGATGATTTCCAATTTCATCCATGTCCCTACAAAGGACATGAACTCATCATTTTTTATGGCTGCATAGTATTCCATGGTGTAGACGTGCCACATTTTCTTAATCCAGTCTATCATTGTTGGACATTTGGGTTGGTTCCAAGTCTTTGCTATTGTGAATAGTGTCACAATAAACATACGTGTGCATGTGTCTTTATAGCAGCATGATTTATAGTCCTTTGGGTATTTACCCAATAATGGGATGGCTGGGTCAAATGGTATTTCTAGTTCTAGATCCCTGAGGAATTGCCACACTGACTTCCACAATGGTTGAACTAGTTTACAGTCCCACCAACAGTGTAAAAGTGTTCCTATTTCTCCACATCCTCTCCAGCACCTGTAGTTTCCTGACTTTTTAATGATTGCCATTCTAACTGGTGTGAGATGGTATCTCATTGTGGTTTTGATTTGCATTTCTCTGATGGCCAGTGATGGTGAGCATTTTTTCATGTGTTTTTTGGCTGCATAAATGTCTTCTTTTGAGAAGTGTCTGTTCATGTCCTTCACCCACTTTTTGATGGGGTTGTTTGTTTTTTTCTTGTAAATTTGTTTGAGTTCATTGTAGATTCTGGATATTAGCCCTTTGTCAGATGAGTAGGTTGTGAAAATTTTCTCCCATTTTGTAGGTTGCCTGTTCACTCTGATGGTAGTTTCTTTTGCTGTGCAGAAGCTCTTTAGTTTAATTAGATCCCATTTGTCAATTTTGGCTTTTGTTGCCATTGCTTTTGGTGTTTTAGACATGAAGTCCTTGCCCATGCCTATGTCCCTAATGGTAATGCCTAGGTTTTCTTCTAGGGTTTTTATGGTTTTAGGTCTAACGTATAAGTCTTTAATCCATCTTGAATTAATTTTTGTATAAGGCATAAGGAAGGGATCCAGTTTCAGCTTTCTACATATGGCTAGCCAGTTTTCGCAGCACCATTTATTAAATAGGGAATCCTTTCCCCATTTCTTGTTTTTGTCAGGTTTGTCAAAGATCAGATAGTTGTAGATATGCAGCCTTATTTCTGAGGGCTCTGTTCTGTTCCATTGATCTAGCATTCTTGTACACCAATAACAGACAAACAGAGAGCCAAATAATGAGTGAACTCCCATTCACAATTGCTTCAAAGAGAATAAAATACCTAGGAATCCAACTTACAAGAGACGCAAAGGACCTCTTCAAGGAGAACTACAAACCACTGCTCAATGAAATAAAAGAGGTTACAAACAAATGGAAGAACGTTCCATGCTCATAGGTAGGAAGAATCAATATCATGAAAATGGCCATACTGCCCAAGGTAATTTATAAATTCAATGCCATCTTCATCAGTGAATTCTATGTTTCAAATTGTCGTTGTGTACAGTCTCCCTTTCTGTGGCTCCAATGTCATTGACCACATTGTCTGTGACATGTACCCATTACTGGAACTGGCATGTGCTGACACCTACTTTATAGGGCTCACTGTGATTGCCAATGGTGGAGCAATCTGTGTGGTCATCTTCTGCCTTCTACTAACCTCCTATGGAGTCATCCTAAACTTCCTTAAAACTTATAGTCAAGAAGGGAGGCATAGAACCCTGTCTACCTGCAGCTCCCACATTACTGTGGTTGTCCTCTTTTTTGTTCCCTGTATTTTCATGTATGTTAGACCTGTTTCAAACTTCCCTATTGATAAATTCATTACTGAGTTTTATACAGTTATCACCCCCAAGTTGAATCCATTAATCCAACCACTGAGAAATTGAGAAATGAGAATTACTATGAAGAAACTCTGGTGTTAAACCTGAACTATAGTTAGAATAAGGGTGTTCTGGCTGCATGCAGTGGCTTATGCCTGTAATCCCACCATTTTGGGAGGCTTAGGTGGGCGGATCACGAGGTCAGGCATTTGAGACCACCCTAGACAATATCTCTTCTAAAAAATACAAAAATTAGCTGGGCATAGTGGCACGTGCCTGTAGTCCCAGCTACTCAGGAGGCTGAGGCAGGAGTCACTTGAACCTAGGAGGTGGAGGTTTCAGTGAGCTGAGATCGTGCCACTGCACTCCAGCCTGGGTGAAAGAGTGAGACACCATCTCGAAAGAGTGAGACACCATCTCAAAATAAATAAATAATAAGGGTGTTTCTCTTCTTTTAGTAGAGGTATATGTAGATGGCATATTTACCAGGATAGTGTTAGACATCTAAAGGCAATTCAGGTATACTAGGTTGGGAAGGCAGGATTTAGAATCTCCCAACTCACAGAGATGTCATCTCATCATAGCATCTGTTTGAATGTTCAAGAACTCAAATTCTACATCTAGACTGAGTGTGGATGGGATCCTTGGGTGCAATTTCTATTGTGCACTTTTTAAATTATGGTTTTTCTGTATTTACAGATCTATTGAGACAGGGAATTTCTTCCACATGCCCAGCACACAATGGAGAAACAGAGGTCTAGGCAATTAAATAGATGTTCCTGTTCACAAGGGAAGGCGATGGTGCTTTCTTCAGTGTGATTTACTTGAAGACTTTGTAGAATATATAAGCACCATACTCACAAATATCTTTGAAGCTGGAAATGTATAATTGCATTCATACCACTGAGCAACAGGAGTGGAAACTTATGTGAGAGGTTCCTTTCATTCTGAAATTTATGATTATGAATATGATATACTTCCCAGAGCCGCCTCCTAAAATATGTTTCTATACATACTATTTCCATTTTATTAAGATATTTTGTTAAGCTTTGACACTAATGACATTAAGTTGTGTCTGTTTGAAAGCCCAATAACTTCTCATTAGTTGCCTTTCCAATGGACTTCCTCTGGACATTCTATCAGGAATTATGAATCCCAAATCCCAATAATCATCACAGGGTGGCAGGAGTAGGTTTCTGCAAGAGTCTCCAGTTTGCATATGTTCACATATATACACTTCCAAAAATGACTGCATTATGTTATTGGGTCTAACTACATTGCATGAGCAACTTCCCATTAGGAATCTTCTAGAGCCCTTGTCATGTATTTCTTATCACTGTATGTTGGAGATCTAGTGGTATAATTGCTAAGGTTTGTGAAATGTCTCTGATGGTCACGAGCCATGCTGTTCCCAGAATCTTGCATGATTAGTCTAAGCTCTGTTTGTTGACTAGACTGATCAGTGACATTTGACTACTTATATTTACTGTAGACCCCATACTTTTCCACGTTGCTTCTTCTGAGGAAGAAACTATTACAATATTATCAAAGTAATGAATTAATTTATTTTGATTATGTTCACATCTAAGTTTCATTTCACCAAATTATGGCATTATACTAAGTATATATATTTGGGCAAAATGGCAAACATATGTTGTATTTCTTTCCACATAAAAGGAAACTATTCTGGATATTCCTTTAATCCTAAAAGTTGAACTGGAAGCCCAAAGATATAAGATTTGTAATTAAAATTTTGAAAGACTAGTGAATCATTCTGAATAAGACAGATTACAATTGTATAACGACTAAAATACTATGGTGCTGTTTGAAATATAAAGATAAATAAATAAAAGTACATATAAGTTAAAACCATTCCATAAATACATTTAAAAATGCACTGTTTCTGTTAGCATGTTTTTGGTTCAAATGATAGAACACTGAATTCAAACTTTTGTGAAATATAAGAATATTGATAGGCTAACATAATTTCATTTTTCAATATTATGAAAATATTCAAGGTGAGTTGATAAAATGGATCAATTATGTTTTTAAAGAAGGCTTTTCTTTGTTTGTTTTGTCCCATGAGTCACAATATTGGATTAAATCTGGCTCTCCTATCACAAGAAGGGTTGTTATCTGTATTGATTTAGAGAGCGCTCTTCCCACAACTGTGGCAGAGGTAATTGACCTGATTGTGATGTGGAATGGAGATGTTATAACACAATGGTTGCAAGAAATAATACTTTTTTCTTCCAATTGACTTACTTGAACACATGTTGCCATTTCCTTTTCCAATAGTGATAATAAATGAGAAAGTGCAGGAGTCCTTTCCTGAATGGGTATAATGAACAGGGATGAGACATTTTGAGGATGAAAGTCTGGACTATCCCATTCAATAAGTTATGAGATCTGCAGAGATGCTAGCGGAAGGTGAAACGGGAAAAAATTGATAAGAAATAAGTTGGTAAATAGCAGTGGCAACTCTGAGATCAGATTCAGTTGCAAGAGACATAGTTTGTCATGGAACCTTTCTCTTCTCGCTCTCCTCAAGTAAGAGAATCCTAAAAGAGCTGTTCTGGTAATGTATAAGAATATATAAATTCAAGTGGCATAAGGGTTATATTATGGTCTATATGAAGAGGCTCTGCCTTGCCCTTCATTTAGGAAAGAAGAATTTATTTTTCCAGTTGTTGGGTGTTCTGTTTAGTAGACAGCATTCAGATGATAGCCCCTTCAGTGTCTTTAGACGTTGCAGAAATCCACCTCAATAAAGGTCTCATGCCCTTTCTCAGAGCAGTCCCTCTTTGCATCCAGGTTAATATTTAGGTTCAGGTAACCTTAAAGTACAAGCAGGAAATATGGTCCTTTTCTTGAAGAAAATAATTAATTTTGTTAAAAAATTATGAATCTAGATAATTAAAATGTCAATAATCATAGGAACATGTGGAATTTGATCTTGTCTATATTGAAATGGAGAAGGACATTGATTAGGCTGCATTGGGAATGTTTATCACTGTGAAGATAATCTTCTGTAAATATATGTGACACAAGGTTTATGTTGACTAAAATTACTGAGCACATACAGTGTGTCAGACCTATAGAAGAAAGCATTCCAAGTGTTTAGAGTGGTATGTTCAGGGTGGCACCATGACTCACCCTTTTGGAGGCCATTCCAATGTTCTATCTAGACAATAGCTTCTAGGTGATGGGAAATGTAGTCATAGTGGTGAATTCTATGGTGTTGAGTAATTTGCTTTACTTTATTTACTAGAAAAGATATCGCCTGGTTAGAAATGATGGTGATTGTTGTACCATGGGAATGAATCATCCCCATGAATAATAAATAAGACTAAAGCACTGGGACAATCATATAACCAGAATATATAATATAATGACCAGATGCTGTCTCCAGCACTTTGAGATTTGCAATGAAGTAAGCTGGCAGAGGGATGTTGGCTGGTTTCCCTAGCTATTTGTGTCATGTTAGAGAGTCAATGATGGACCTTGCTGATGGCATTTTGGACCTTGAGCATTGACAGTAGCCGCAGAAGCCATGGTGAAAGGCAGATTATGTTCTTTGAGCCCTTGTAAAGTATTCATCACTGCCACAGGGACTACAAAGATTACTGGAATAAAATAAAAGCCTGACTGACATCCAAAATATAGTTCATGTTGCTAACCACATTTCTGCAAGCCTCCTCTGCAGTAGATTCTCTTTGATAGGCATTTATGTGGGAAACTAACTGTGCATTCGGTGCCCATTCTTGGATATCCATACCACTCCAACTGCTTTGTAATCTCTTTTTCATTTTTAAATTTCAAATTTCCTCAATATCTTGTCAAATCTGTTAGCCATGTTCCCGAGTCTTTGTGGACTCCTAACTCAGGCTATTTCTCTTTCCACGTGAAGTGGAAAACCAAACATAATCCTCAAAATACTGCTCACCGGGATGCTTTTGCTTCACCTCAGTGCTTCAATATCACCTTGCAGGAAGAGTACTGTGCAGCATTTGTCCAGTTTCACCTGCTTTTGCCATACCAAGCAAATTGGTAATGTCTTTTGTTGTAGTCTTTCAAACATAGTTTGTTTTTGTTGTTTCTAGTGCTACTGAGGTTTTCTTCACAAATATTTTATGTACTTAAAGTGTACAGTATAATGTTTGATATATGTATACATTGTGAAGTGATTACCACTATGAAACTAGTTAATGTGTCCATGATCTCACATAGTTACTTTTATTTGTGATAAGAACATTTAAGATATATTCTCTTGCAAATTTCATGTATCCCATATGTATTACTAATTAAGATCAACATGCTGTACATGAGCTCTTCAGAACTTATTCATACTGCATTCCATACTGCATTACTGAAACTTTGTAGCCTTTGACCAACATCTTATTTTCTTCCGTCCCAGTCCCTGGCAACCACCATTCTAGTCTCTGACTTTTATGTGTTTGACTTTTTTTAGATTGCACACATATGTGACATTATGTGGCATTTATGTTTCGGTAGAGAAAGGAATTCTTGTGCAGTATTGATGGAAATGTAAATTACTGTGGCCATTATAGGAAACTCTATGGAGTTTCCTCAAAAAATTATAATTAAAAATAAGATCTAGCAATGTGACTTCTTGTAATATATTTAAAGGAAAGAAAATCAATATTTTGAAAGGTGCTTGCACTTCCACGTATACTGCAGCATTATTTGTAGTAGTCAAGATATGAACACAAAAGTCTGTCAAAGATGAGTGGGTAAAGTTAATACATATCCAATGTGGAATGATATATATGTATCTATATACCTAATATGATATTATTAATTGTAGTCTTTATGCTGTACCTTAGATTATGAGAATTATTCATTCTGCATAGCTCAAAATTTGTGTCCTATATAGGTAATACAATATTATGCAATAAATATATATGTAACCCAATGTTATTCAACCTTAAAAAATAAGAAAATTCTGCCATTTTTAGCAATGTGTATGGACCTGGAGGACTTGAATAACTTCATTATTTTATTTCACTTTTAATTGATGAATAATAATATTATGTATGTATAGGGTACCATGTGATGTTTTGAGATCACTTGCAGTAACATGGATGAACCTGGAGTGCATTATGCTACATGAAATGAATTCTTAAATGAACGTTTAGTTCATTAGTTTTTCAGTCTTTATCATTTTCTAATTAGTACAACTAAGATTTTGGCTGACTTTACGAGCTTTGGTAGGTTGTATTTTTATAAACATTAAGCTCAAAATATTTTATAATTTCCATTGTAATTTATTTTACCAATAGGTTCTTAAAAAGTGACTTACTTAATTTTCAAATATGCAGAAATTTCTGGATAGTTTTATTTTTTATTTGTCCATAAGTTATTGGGGTACAGGTGGTACTGGTGGTATTTGGTTACATGAGTAATTTCTTTAGTGGTAAATTTGTGAGATTTTTGTACACAGTCAACACAACCATATTGGTTGTGTTTTATCCCTTGCCCTCCTTCACTCTTCTCCCCAAATACACAAAGTCCATTGTATCATTCTTATGCCTTTGAATCGTCATAGCTTAGCTCCCACATATCAGTGAGAACATACGATGTTTGGTTTTCCAATCCTGAGTTACTTCACTTAGAATAATAATCTCCAGTCTAATCTGGAATCCAGGCCACCTCAAATGCTGTTAAGTCATTCCTTTTTATGGTTGCATAGCATTCCATCATATTTCATATATATATATATATATATATATATATATATATATATATATATATATGTGAGTTTCTTTATCCATTCATTGATTGATGGGCATTTGGGTTGGTTCTGTGATTTTGCAATTGTGAATTGTGCTGCTATAAACATGCGGGTGTATCCTTTTCTTATAATGACTTCTTTTCCTCTCGGTAGATGAAGCAGGAAACCATCATTCTCAGAAAACTAACCCAAGAAGAGAAAACCAAACACTGCATGTTCTCACTCACAAGTGGGAGTTGAAAAATGAGAACACATGGACACAAGGAGGGGAACCCAGTAGTGGGATTGCTGGATCAAATGGTAGTTCTACTTTTATTCCTTAAAACAATTCCAGACTGTTTTGCATAGTGGCTGTACTAGTTTACATTCCCACCAGCAGTGTAGAAATGTTCCCTGTTCACAGCATCTATGACAACATCAACTGTTTTTTTGATTTTTTGAATATGGCCATTCTTGCAGGAGTGAGGAAGGTATCGCATTGTAGTTTTGATTTGTATTTCTCTGATCCTTAGTAATGTTGAGCATTTTGTCATTTTTTTGGCCCGTTGTATATCTTCATCATCATTTCTTGAAAAGACTATTTTCCCCCTTCAGTTTGCCTTGACACCCTTATAAAAAATGAGTTGACAATAAATGCCAGGGTTTGTTTCAACAGTGAGTTCTGTTCCACTGATCCATGCATCTAACCTAATATCATACTGTCTTGATGACTGTGGTTTACAGTAGTAGGGAAACCAGGAAGTTCTTTTTCAAGATTGTTTTGGATATTTTGGACATTATACAGCATGACCTTTTACTCCTAAATATTTCAACATGTATATCCTGTAAGAACAAAGACATTGACTTGCATAAACAGAGAATTATCAAATTAAGTAAAATCCATACAACACTATTACCCATTATATGTCGGTATTCAAATAGCATCAACTATTTCCATAATGTTTTCTTTTACTTTTTGTTCCATTTGCAGACAGGGTCTCACCATTTTGCCCAGGCTGAGCTTCAACTCACAATTTTCCTGCGTTAACCTCCAGAGAAGCTGGGACTATAGGTATGTGACTCCACCCTGGGCCCAATAATGTTTTCTATAGAAATTTTTTGGGGAGTTCAGCATCAAATCTAGAGTTATACATTAAATTTAGTTGATATTTTGCTTTATTTTAACGTGAACAGCTTTCTAGTACTTCTTTAACTTTTTATTACATTAACATTTTGAGGAACATCTCCCATTTGCTTTGCAGAATACCTTTCAATCTGAATCTAATAATTTCCTTATTTTGAGACCAAACTTATCCATACCTGTCAGGCATGCTACATCCCAGCTTATCTTTGCCTGCATCAAATTACTGATTGAATTAAGGGTACAAAGTTTCAACCTGTTTACCTTGATTAGGACATCTTTGAGGCCACCCCTACCTCAAAATTTTCTATAATACTGGCCTTTGATTCAATTATGTTCATGTTAATATCTCTCTCCATCCATTGCTTTGTTACAGTTGTTATTCCCTAGAGCATGCACCAACAAATCCTGCATACTAATCTAGCAGAAACGACTTTTTTGGGAACCCAACCTACACAATTTTGTAAATGTTCTTTGCTCTTGGTTCTCTCAGAGGGGGTCATGAATTGAATTGTTATGATTCTCCTTTTTTGGTTTCTTCTTACCAGAGCTTTCTATGGAGTTACAATGATTTTTGTCTTCTGTTCATTTTGAAGTGCTGAAGTAAGGCTCTGTATAGATAGAGGAAGAGTTACGGTTTTTGGGTGTCTTCTAAGATTTTTAGTTCATAGGTGGCTTCTTTATAATTTTTTTAGCATAGTACAACATTTAAGTGAGGAAGGATGAATTAGAATACCTTTAGATTTTGTCATCCTTCTTTGTTTCCTCAGGACTTTAATTTCCTCTTATAGGTCCTGTACTTTCCTTTCCCAGGAGGTCACCCAAAAGTACCTTTCCTTGCTACTCATCATCATTTCCCCGAGAAGTCATGCCTTTTGGAGAATATCATCATAGGTGCTGCATATTTTCATTATTTCCCTCTGCTCAACATCCTGCTTTATCAGACATCAGACCCCTTTCATTAATGATTTTGAAATTAGTGTGACTTACAATGTTGTGGGTGATTCTGGCTGTGCTCCATCTCCTTTGGGCTTCCTACTTCCCTCTCCTGTTCTCTACACTCTCTTCAGGGTTCCCTCACTTTTCTCTCTGTTTAGAGCTGCAGAGATCTCTCTGCTGGGATTTGATGTTAATTTTTCTATTTAGAGGTTACTTGAGATTCGTAGTATTCTCAGTGTCAGTTATGCTGTATGTCCTAGTTATGTGTGACATTATGTACTTGCTGTGTTTTATTTATTGAATTTTTTTTGGAGGATATGTAGAGAGATTCTGACTTCAGAAGCTTCCATCGTTATGTAAGAGACACCTGAATATTGAGTGTCAAATATTTCTGTATTTAATTTTATTTTTTCTTGTTTTACTTCATAATAATAATTTTAAAATTATAGGTCTTAAATAATTGTTTCTGTAGTTCCTTTTAAGAAAGATGTTTCCCCCTCTGGACAAAATTTCTGAGTTGGGTTTGACATGTGGATGTTATCTCATCTGAGTTAGATTGAAACTTTTAGTAAGTTGATTAGCAACAGTCTTGTGCTATTCTCATTAGGTATGTTTGCCATACACAAAACCTTAAGCTTTCCATTTTACTCCAGTGCCTTCTTAGAGTTGAGAATTTCAAAAATATACTGATTAATCAGAAGCAAAGGAATCTTATTCATGCAACTTTATGTCTTTGTTTTTAATAAGGGACTTTCTCTTTGATGTTGCAGTGCTATTTTTTTGCACTTGATTATCCTAAAGTAATTGTCGAGGAGAAACTTCTAAAAATATAGAAAAATATAGATCCCTGGAAAGATCATGTGAGAGGGTTCTGTTCTCTGGGGCATGATTCCTCATGAATTAATTTGGAGCAAGCAGCCTTGGGGACAAACAGTTTGAACAACTCAGTGAAATATTTTGTTGTTCATTGTTGATTATGTCATATCTTCTCTACCTGGGAGAATAGTTCTCCTCAGGTATTAATGTCACTGTCAAATATAAAATAAAAGCCATTACCTTACTAGACATGAACCATACTAAAGCAGCCATATGAACATATGAGTGCTTTTAAAATATTCAAAACAAAGCCCAGTTTTTAGATTATCTTTGTGAACTATTGACTAAAAATGCCCTATTGATGAAGAATGACTAAGAATGCTAAGTTTCTGTAGATCTTGTATCTATCGACTAAGAATGCTATAAAAGGTTTGTTCAACCCATAAGATCAGTAAACATAATAATGGGGTTTTAAATGTTTTAAATTTTAATATATATATTCTCAATGACAAGTTTCCAATGTGGTGATTCATCAGTCATATCAACTGCTTATTCCTGAAACCAACTCTGGATAATCCCATAATCCAAATGAAAATGTTTACAAAAGTTGAAGAAGATGATCATGCTTTGTTCAGGCAAAAGGAGATACATCCCTGTGTGACAAAACATTTGCACCTTTAGTGACCATGTGGCCTCTTCCTTTCTTTGCAGTCATGCCTGTATTAAAAGGGTGTCAATCCTGATTATCTTCTTCAAACTAGGCAGTAATCTTCTAGGAACAGAGGAAAAACTGCAGAAGCCTGGATTTGGAACAAGTGACCAAGGAGGAAATAGAAAACCCAGGTAACAAATTTACAAAAAAAAATTTTACTGCTATTATGATAGGGGCAAAATTGACTTTATTTGAATGAGTTATGTATCTTTCTTAAAAAGTAGGCTTTATCATTTAATCTCAAGTGTTTTATGCCAGAACCTCCAAGAATAAGAGAGCATACACATTTTCTTCATTTTGTAGAATATTATTAGAATAAGTACAATGGCAATAATTTTCTCCAAATTTTTAATTAGAATTGTTTAATTACATATTTAAATGCAGAAAATGCATAGCACAACATAACATGACTATATTTAGTATTTATAATGACTTCATTTAGATTGCTTTATATAATTTAGAGAATACAACAATCATTATCTTACATCTTAATACATTGATAATAAGTATTGCCACAGTTCTTTATATTTTTATCTTGTATATAATATTTTAAAAAGTCCTGATGTTTTATTTGTGTTGGTATTTTTTATTATGGTAAAATACACATAACACATTGTTGTGTAACCATCATCACTGCTCATCTCCAAACCTTTTCATCATCCTAAACTGAAACTCCATACCCATCAAACAATAATTTTTCCTTATCCCTTCCCCTTAGCCCCTGGTAACCACTGTTGTGGTGTCTTATAAAAGTGAGATCATAACATATTTGTCGTTTTGTGTCTGGCTTAGCATGTCTTCAAGGTTCACCCATGTTCTAGCATTATCACAATTTCATTGCTTTTTAAGGTTGAATAATATCCCCTTGTATGTATATACTACAATATGTTTATTCGTTCTTTAATTGATGGGCATTTAAGTTGTTTCCATCTGTTGGCTATTGTGAATAATTCTGCTATGAACATCAGTGTCCAAATACTTGTTTCAGTCTGTGATTTCTATTCTTTCATGCATATGCCCCAAGTAACATTCACATTACCAAGTGAAAATTCACCAGCTGTCTTTCTTCGTAGCTCTTTGACATGTATCATTAAAACTAATTTAATCTGAAGTACCTTTTTGTAGATTAGGGGATCAACTGGGTACATAACAAGATGTGTCCAGTTTTACTCACAACATTTTTAAAACCCTGAAAATTAGGGCATATTAATGTAATTAACTCACAGGCAGAAATTGATGTTGGCATTTTCCCTAAGTTTCTGTAGATCTTGTACCTAATGGAATTCATAACTTCTTTTTCCATAGACACTAAATGACCCTTTCTAATAAGGTATATGTGTAGGTCCATAAATTTACCTAGTCACCAGACTTTTCAGAACACGAGTTTTCATATTTTGTAAAAATTGTTATTGTGGAATACCTATCCTGGATTCACATTTTTTGAGTATTTCTTAAATGATTCACTCTTTCTCATTGAATATGTTAAGAAATTTGAAGAATCTTTCAAATGTTTGAATCAGATATATATTTTCCATAATATAGAATATTGATAAAATACAGAATTTGGAATCATTCGAGGTGATAATTTTCAATAGAATAATAGTAATGCTCCTAAGAACATTTTAATAATTGAAATATTTGTTGAGTACTTGAAATGCTATAAACAAATAAGTATTATAAGTACAAAAAGGTCAACAGGAGAGATTGTCCTACTGGAAGTTATCTCTGAAGTTTAAAATCTGATTTTTTCATTTTTCTTTGGCCCAAATGTATAAAGATTCCTAGAAGCAAGTGCTGACACAGATGCTGAGTTACCTTCCAGGCCACCTCCTGAGTGACAGGAACCTTGGAATCTGATATTCTTCTATTCTCAACTCATTCAGGTCCCTCAATCAAAATGCTTACCAATATTTCATTCAGCTTATGGCCTTTACTTATTTCCATCTGCCTTTGCTAAGTTATCTCTTATTTTATTTATGTCTACTCTTTCTCTGATGTTTGAGTATGTCTTGGCTTGCCTTGATGCATAAAGGATAGAATAATCTCCTGACCATCACAAATGATCATCACTAACACAGAGCATATTTCAAATAATACTGCTAATACAAACTTGTGTATATGACACATAAAATTGGGCCTGGATCACATCTGAAATGCCCAACAGATGATTTGATTTATTTTACTCAAGTGAAAATGAATATTTTATATTTGGCATAATTTCAAATAGCCACAAACTAATAATATGAAAAAACCCTTATGTATTGATTACTTTAATCATCAAATAATCTTTAGCACATACTAAGCCTGATTTATATAAAAATGGTCTACCAGCAAAAATGTCA
The DNA here is from genome assembly GCF_000001405.40 of Homo sapiens. Classification (NCBI taxonomy): domain Eukaryota; kingdom Metazoa; phylum Chordata; class Mammalia; order Primates; family Hominidae; genus Homo; species Homo sapiens. The sequence goes on from NC_000011.10 coordinate 55,490,095, forward strand.
TCATGTTGTTTGGGATACATGTGTCAATGATAAGAATCCAGAAACTCATTTATCTGGAAGGATCATTAGATTTGCAATAAGGAATTATATGGTGGGATGTGATTTTCCCGAGATGACTAAACTAAAAATCAACTAAAATTTTCAGATTTTTCATATAGAATTATTTCTACTACACCATGATTTTGCCTGGAGTCTTTATTTTTACATTGTGAATTAATCCGTAATTAGGCATCATCAGTCTTAAACAAATGTGAAAAGTGGGGAAAATGTCCATGCAGTGCCCCTGCACTTTGATTTGTATTACCTGTTTATTTTTTCCTCTAATGACCTAGGTTGCAATAGATCAAAATTCAGTGTGTGTGTGTGTGCGTGTGTGTGTGTGTGTGTGTGTTGTGTGTTTTCAAATAAAACATTGCTTTCATTGGACTTTCATGGCTGGGAAGATTTTAATACATTTATTTCCAAGCACTTGCTCTCTCAGCTTTGAAATTCAGTTTAATTAAATAAAATTTAATAAACATTTAGTGAGCATTCACAATGTGTCTGGTTCTTTGAGTGAGTTATTCCTGGATTCTAGGAGCTCACAGTAGAGTGTTTCAGAACGGCAAATATCTAAACATTAGCCGGTAATTTTATGCTCCGTATACTGGGTACTAATTTACATAAACATATAAGTAAAGTCTACACATATGAGACTGTTTTCTTGATAGATCATGGAAGGAAAAATCCATTCAGGGAAAAAAAAGGGAAATACTATATAAATGTCAAAAATCCAGTCTTTTTAAGAGACATTCTCTGGAAATATCTCTATTTTGAGGTGTAGTAGATTATCTTACATATATATCCACTCACACATACCTTCCAGTTAGAACACTGAAGCCTCATCATTGTAATTAAAACAATAAATTTTGTAAAAATGAAAAGGATAATTGTGGGAGGAGATTCTAAACACTCCTTTTCTAATGAGCTGCTCTGTGTCGCCAGGGGAAACATGGTTGAGTAAGGCATCACATTTTTGACATGGAGCTTCTGACAAATAATCTCAAATTTATCATTGACCCTTTTGTTTACAGGTTCTGACACCTTAGTCCAATACCTTCAGAAGAACACATGGAAAATAGGAAAAATTGACTTAATTCATCCTCTTGGGGCTCACACAGAACCCTGAGGGCCAAAAAGTTTTATTTGTCACATTCTTACTCATCTACATTGTGACGATAATGGGCAACCTCCTTATCATGGTGACCATCATGGCCAGCCAGTCCCTGGGTTCCCCCATGTACTTTTTTCTGGCTTCTTTATCATTTATACATACCGTCTATTATACTGCCATTGCTCCCAAAATGATTGTTGACCTGCTCTCTGAGAAAAAGACCATTTCTTTTCAGGGTTGTATGGCTCAACTTTTTATGGATCATTTATTTGCTGGTGCTGAAGTCATTCTTCTGGTGGTAATGGCCTATGATCAATATGTGGCCATCTGTAAGCCTCTTCATTATTTGATCATCATGAATTGTCGAGTCTGTGTTCTCATGCTGTTGGTGGCCTGGATTGGAGGCTTTCTTCACTCATTGGTTCAATTTCTCTTTATTTATCAGCTCCCTTTCTGTGGACCCAATGTCATTGACAACTTCCTGTGTGATTTGTATCCCTTATTGAAACTTGCTTGCACCAATACCTATGTCACTGGGCTTTCTATGATAGCTAATGGTGGAGCGATTTGTACTGTCACCTTCTTCCCTCTCCTGCTTTCCTATGGGGTCATATTACCCTCTCTTAAGACTCAGAGTTTGGAAGGGAAATGCAAAGCTTTCTACACCTGTGCATCCCACATCACTGTGATCACTTTATTCTTTGTCCCCTGCATCTTCCTGTTTGCAAGGCCCAACTCCACCTTTCCCATTGATAAATCCATGACTGTGGTTTTAACTTGTATAACTCCCATGCTGAAACCACTAATCTATGCCCTGAGGAATGCAGAAATGAAAAGTGCCATGAGGAAACTTTGGAGTGAAAAAGTAAGCTTAGCTGGAAAAGGGCTGTATCCCTCATGAGAATATGACTTTCATTCTTTCACAGAAGCAAGGAATAATTTCACTATCCTATCAGATTACATTTCTGTTATCATTCGCCTTTAGTTATTTAGCTTACTTATTCTGAAGCAATTATATACATTAATATTTATGTAAGTACAATATGTTAAGCCCATTACAGACCAAGATAATTGCATAGGTTTAACAGTGTATAGTGTTTTTTTAATCATACTGTGTTAAGATTCTTTAGTAGTAACGATATTTAGTTTTATTTCAAGCTGTTTTTAATTTTAAAAATCATTTATTTTTCTTTTGTATTTAGTTTAAATTGACAATAATTTAGTATATTTATGGAGTACAATGTGATGTTCTGATTTATGTATACATTATAGAAATATTTAATCAATCTAATGAAGATATCTATCACCTCCCCAACATCGTTTTTTAAATTTTTTTTTGTGGTGGAAACATCAGAAATCTATTCTTGTTTATGGGCTATATCTTTCTGGCACATGTAAATGTGACCTAAAAAATTTGTTAACTTTAGTCCGAGGGACTGATATTTTAAACTTGAAAATTCAGATTGTTAGAAGATTATTAATCTAACAGTAAAAATAAATGTCAAATCAATGAATTCAAAGTTTCATAGATATGTTCATAGATGAGGACAAATCTACTTTGTTATAAAGAAATAAACTTTGTTAATTTTATACTGTGATGGAGTTAAGATGTCCAGATAGCATATAATTGTTTTTGTATATTTCAATTAACTTTTGAATAGGAAAATTGTTCAATCCCATTCTGTATATCTAGATCAATTGGCCTCCTCCAATAGTTGAAATACATGCTTAAGTCACTCGTGTAACAGTAGAGCCCACAGAATCTACCTACATTAAACTCTCTGGGTGGACTTAAAAAAAAAAAACAGAATGAATGTTAAACATTTTTGGAACGGATTGCTTTGTTTTACACAGTAAATGGCTTTCAGAATCTCTGTGAACTATATGTTCTCACTGACTGAAGTGATACATCAAAGGTGTCTTCTCTGTTTAGAGTTGCTCTAGAGTAGGTTTAGAGAGCTAATACTGTATTACAAAGATAATTTTTAAGGGCTCTGGCATTACATATTGCCTTGATGAAGTCAACCTACAGCATCCATATTAAGGTAAAAAGTTGGTATCTTTTTTTCATTTTCCTTTCCTCAGTTTATAATAGATTTACTTAATGCACTTTGAAATATTAATGCTTCCAGTTATTCAACACATATTGAACAAAAAATATGCCATGAAATCGTATTTATTCTTTAGTGAAGAAAATAAAAAGTGATGTAGATTATTTAGTAAGAAAGGAATCTAATAGCAGGAATTAGAACTTCATAATCATTGGAATTGGGGACTCTGGCATCTGGATACTGGAGTGAGCATAGTTAGGATCAGGGATTTGCCACCCAAGCCATGATGCAGAGATGAGGAAGCTAAACTCAGGAAGAAAGTTCTCTTGTCTTCTGCACATGCTTCTCAAAGTCCTCTCTTGCCCTGAGTTTTATATCAAGATAATTTTCTCTGAAAGTTTAAAGTTTTGCCTTTCACACTAACTTGTCTGGTCTCTTTACACCACATAAGGTTTGAATTTTCAGGTATGGTGTGAGGTGGAAATGCACTTCACTTTCTTATCATGAAAATAATTTTCCCATCGCATTATTGAATAATCATTTAATTGTCTACTACCTTGCAATACAAGTACTTTTATATATAAAATGCAAATATAAAAATTGTTCCATTTCCTACTTTTCAATTTTGTTCAATTAGTCTAATCATTTATTCAAGAAGCCAGTACTACAGTATGTAATTTACTGAGTGTTTCAGATACTATTGCTGTATAATGAATTACCTTAACATTTAGTGGTTTAAAACACTGATCATCACTTAATTATGTCAGATAGTTCTGTGAGTCAGGAACTTGCAAGCAGCAGCTCAGCTAGATACTTCTAGCTCAGGGTATCTCGAGGTTGCAGTCAGAAATTGGCTGGTGCTTAAGTCATATAAAACGTTTCTTCAGTCACATGTCTGGTATGTAGGCCTGAAAGTCTTGAACAGTGAGGGCTAAAATAGTTGGTGCTTCTTGGGCATCTTCCCCTTTGTGTATGTAATTTCCCCATATGGCCTCTCAAGCATGCTGGATTGAGGATACTGCAGGCATTTCACATGGTAGCTCAGAGCTCTAAAAACCATGTGTCCCAAGAGAGTGAGCCAGGTGGAAGCGGTGGTGTTTCTTTGACCTAACCTTGAAAGTCACGTAGAAAGATTCTGCCATATTCCATTAGTCAAGACACCATAAACTCTCTCCCACATGCAAGCAAAGAGGATAGAGTCCACTTCCTGATGGGGAAATGGCAATGCTTTGGAAGACCATATGCAACAAGACATACAGTTGCAGAAATACAATCTGCCACAGTATGCCCCTGCTTACAAAGCACACATCCTCCAATAAACACTGTACACTCCCCTTCCTTTTCTCCAGGCCCCCTTCCCAAATTTCATTCACTTACAGCATCAGGCTCAGTTTGAGATCCAGGACCTCATCATCTAAATCATGTCCAGCTGTGGCTGAGGAGGCTCCTGTTGTGTTGTTCCTCCTGCAGTGTGGTTCCTTGAGTATTATTCCTTTCCATTGAAATTTTCAATTGGAAGACCTTTGAATTAAAGAAACAGGTTATCTGCCCCTTCCTGCCCTGCCAATGTACGATGGTATGACAGGTAAGACATAACCCCTATAGATACATTCAGAAAGGAGAGGAAAAAAAAATACAGTGGCTGTTCCATAGCAATTCTGAAACTCATCTAGTTACATATCTTTTCAGTTCTTTGATTATTGTCCAGCCTACTTAGTGCAGTGACTTTACATGACTCTTATTTCTTCTCTTGGGCTTTGGATTCGGTCTTCTCAGCTATCTGTTCTTTTCCATAATAAACCTGTGTTCCATAAAAAACCTTTGTTTGTAGATTAGTAGTTTGCTCCTCCTGCTTCATATCCATAGAAGTTCGGAGGTCCAAAGTTATTTTATCACTTCATTTTAAACTGTCCCTCTTTGTCCACACTGCTAATAAATACATACCTGAGACTAGGTAATTTATAAAGGAAAGAGGTTTAATTGACTCACCATTCAACATGGTTGGGGAGGCCTCAGGACACTTACAATCATGGCAGAAGGGAAAGTAAGCATACCCTTCTTCACATGGTGGCAGGAGCAAAACGGGAAGAAGCCCCTTATAAAACCATCAGATCTTGTGGAACTCACTCACTATCATGAGAACAGCAGCATGGGTGTAACTGTCCCCATGATTCAATTATCTCCCACCAGGCTCCTTCCACAACACATGGGGATTATAGGAACTACAATTAAAGTTGAGATTTTGGTGAGAACACAGCCAAACCATATCATTCCTCCTCTGGCCCCTCCAAAATCTCATGTCCTCACAGTTTAAAACACAATCATGCCTTCCCAACAGTTCCCTAAAGCCTTAACTCATTCCAACATTAACCCAAATGTCCAAGTCCAAAGTCTTATCTAAGACAAGGCAAGTCCCTTCCATCTAGTAGCCTGCAAAATCAAAAACATAGTTAGTTACTTCCTAGATACAATGGGAGTACAGGCATTGGGTAAATACACCCATTCCAAATGGGGGAAATTGGTCAAAACAAAGGGGCTACAGGACCCATTCAACTCCAAAATCCAATAGGGCAGTCATTAAAGCTTAAAGTTCCAAAATGTCCTCATTTGACTTCACGTCTCACATCCAGGTCACACTGATGCAAGAGGTGGGCTACCACAGCCTTGAGCAGATCTTCCCCCTTGGCTTTGAATGGTACAGCTCCCTCCAAGCTGCTTTCATGGCTGGCATTGAGTGTCTGTGGCTTTTCCAGGTGCATAGCGCAAGCTGTTAGTGGATCTACCATTCTAGGGTCTGGAGGATGGTGACATTCTTCTCACAGCTCCACTAGGCCCTGCCCCAGTGGGAACTCTGTGTGGGGGCTCCCACCTCATATTTCCATTCCACACTGCCCTAGCAGATGTTCTCCATGAGGGCTCCACCCATGTAGCAAACTTCTGCTTGGACATCCTCTGAAATCTAGGTGGAGGTTTTCAAACCTTAATTCTTGATGGATGTATAAATGTCTATATAGGGTAACTATATAGGGTACCTGATATCTGAAGTAAAGTTACTTTGGTATGAGGGACCAAGTAGAACTATTTGGAACGAACCTTTTTTTACCCAAATAGTAAGCAAAAAGCAGCACCACACCCTTGGGATACTTGGAAAAATTAGTGCTAACAAGAAATTTGATAGATGCAGATAGTGATTCTTACCACATTTCCATTTAATTTACTTGTTTATCTTAGGAATAAGACGGAGAGACAGGCTTAATCTGTGTGGAAGTGGAAGTTTAAAAACCTCATATCATTAATCTTTAATTTTTGTGATTTGCCTTTATAGTAGTCCCCTGTTATAAGCAGGGGATACATTCCAAGACCCCCAGTGGATACCTGAAACTGAGGATAGTAATGAACTCGATTGCTGTAAATCAGAATATGATAATGTTCATGTCTTTTACCTACAAACTTAATGTCTTTTCCATCTTAACTAAGCATTTATACATACAGAAGAGCTGGGCTCCCGAGTAAACCCCACCTTTAAACCTGGATCCGCAGCCCTAAGCGAAAACAACTGACCCTGGTTTTCCACCCAAACATTGCCTTTTTGGATTGCCCCACCCCTATCCTGTGCCCATAAAAGACTTCAGCTGACAGGGCAACACAAGCAGCTGAGTGTGTAAGATACAAGAGGCTGAGTGGAGAGCAGAGAAGCAACTGAGCATCAGAGACTATGGATAGATGTGGCTAACTTCAGACAGTATGGCTTCAGGGAAAGATCACCTTCCCATCCCCTTTCCAGCCTCTCTTTCTGCTGAAAGCCACCCACCACTCAATAAAGTCGTCCTTATGCATCTCCTTTCAAACAGTTCATGTGACCTGATTCTTCCTGGATTGGACAGGAACCTAGGTGCCAAGGTGGCAGGGGCTACCACCCTGACCTTCCACTGAGCTGGTTGGCACTTGGCCATCCCTGGGTGGCAGAGCTGAAAGAGTATTGGTTGTAACACACTTGGATGCTGCTGCGGGGCCCACAAAGAGCCTGCTCCTGCCAGAGCGGAGTGACCAGCCAGTTCCAGTGTTTGTTCCCTCTGGTTCCCACACTTGCTCACTTGCATGCTCCCTCCCACGAATGGCTAGCAGTGAACTCAGTGAAATGAGCCACTCCAGTTCCTGCACGTGAAGGAGGTCAAGGGAACTATCTCATCTCATTATCACACACTATGGCCATAACTTTTGTAATATGATGTGTGACAGCAAAACTAGCATAAATTTCTTTTTCCTCTATCACAATTTTACAAACATAAGATTTGTTTTTACCGTAGATCTTAGCAACTTCAGCAGAGTATTTTTTTTCTTTTATTATTAAGTTGAGAACTTCTTTTCACTTAAAGGAAGCACTTTATGTCTTCTCTTTGGCATATCCAAATTGCCAGCATCATATTCTTGCACTATTTCTGCCCATTATTAAGTAAAATAAGAGTTACTTGAACACAAGCAGTGTGATTTTGCAACTGTCAATCTAATAACTCAGATGGCTACTACGGGACTAATCTGCAGGGGGCATCTACAGTGCTGGACAAAGGGATGATTCACTTCATGGGCAGGAGTGAGCAGGGTGGCTTATGATGGTAACATAATACTCAGATTGGCCTGCAATTTAAAACTTATGAATTGTTAATTTCTGGAATATTTCATTTAATATTTTGGACCATGGTTGACCACAGATAACTGAATCTGTGGAAAGCAAAACCTCAGATAAGTCTGGGCACAGTGGCTCATGCCTGTAATTGTGGCACTTTGGGAGGCCAAGGCAGGTGGATTGCTTCAGCCCAGAAGATCAGCCTGGGCAACATGGCAAAATCTCATCTCTACAAAAAATACAAAAATTAGCCAGGCATGGTGGTGCATGCCTGTAGTCTCAGATACTTGGGAGGCTGAGATGGGAGGATTACCTGAGCCTGGTTGGTAGAGACTACAGTGAGCTGAGATCATGCCATTGCACTCCAGCTCAGGAGACAGAGTGAGACACTGTCTCAAAACAACACAAAATCAAAAAGCAAAACCTAACCTAAAAAACTAAACCAAATCAAAGAAACCAAAACAAAAACCTCAGATAAGAGAGGAGTACTGTATATATTAAGACCCTAGAGGACAGAGTCAAAGGATGTATTTGGTTATAATCTCTCAGCATCTTCATTTCCAAAATGACATCTCTCACTTGAAAAGCAAGGGGGCTAATTGAAGCAATTATATAGATCAATTAAGCAAACAGAACAATACCTTTGGTTTGAATTATTCTTTTTTTAAATTTTATTATTATTATACTTTAAGTTTTAGGGTATATGTACACAACGTTCAGGTTTGCTACATATGTATACATGTGCCATGTTGGTGTGCTGCACCCATTAACTCGTCATTTAGCATTAGGTATATCTCCTAATGCTATCCCTCCCCCCACCCCACAACAGTCCCCGGTGTGTGATGTTCCCCTTCCTGTTTCCATGTGTTCTTATTGTTCAATTCCCACCTATGAGTGAGAACATGCAGTGTCTGGTTTTTTGTCTTTGTGATAGTTTGCTGAGAATGATGGTTTCCAGCTTCATCCATGTCCCTACAAAGGACATGAATGCATCATTTTTTATGGCTGCATAGTATTCCGTGGTGTATATGTGCCACATTTTCTTAATCCAGTCTATCATTGTTGGACATTTGTGTTGATTCCAAGTCTTTGCTACTGTGAATAGTGCCACAATAAACATACATGTGCATGTGTCTTTATAGCAGGATAATTTATAATCCTTTGGGTGGTTTGAATTATTCTAACAGATTGGAACTCAGGAAACTAATTCTTTTTTAAAAAATTTATTTTTTTAATTGTCAAATAATAATTGTACATATTCATGGGGTACAAAGTATCATTTCCATACATATAATGTATGGTGATTAGATCAGGGTAATTAACATATCCATCATCTCAAACATTTATCATTTCTTTGTATTGGGAACAGTCAATACTCTCCTTCTAGCTATTTTGAACTATGTAGTATAATATATATTGTACTATATAATACGTATTAATATATAATATATATACTGTTGTTAACTATAATATACTGTTGTTAACTATAGTCATCCTACAGTGGCATAGAACACTAGAATTTATTCCTCCTGTCCATCTGTAATTTTATAGCCTTTAATGAATCTCTTGCTATCCCTCCCTTCCCCCTATGCTTCCCAGCCTCTAGTATTCTCTGTTCTACCTTTGACACCTATGAGATCAGCTCTTTTTAGCTTCCACATATGAGTGAGACTATGTGGAGTTTAACTTTCTGTTTCTGGCTTATTTCACTTAATTTCCTCCAGTTCCATCTATGTTGTAATGAATGACAAAATTTCATTTTTTTTTTTTATGGCTGAATAGCATTCCATGTTGTATATATACATTTCCTTTATCCATCCATGTGTTGTTGGAAAATTAGGTTGATTCCATATCTTGGATATTGTGAATAGTGCTGCAATAAAAATGGGGATGTAGATGTCTCTTTGATACAATGATTTATTTTATTTCTTATTGGAACAGGAATTAATAAAAACCACAATGAGATACCATCTCACACCAGTTAGAATGGCAATCATTAAAAAGTCAGGAAACAACAGGTGCTGGAGAGGATGTGGAGAAATAGGAACACTTTTACACTGTTGGTGGGACTGTAAACTAGTTCAACCATTGTGGAAGTCAGTGTGGAGATTCCTCAGGGATCTAGAACTAGAAATACCATTTGACCCAGCTATACCATTACTGGGTATATACCCAAAGGATTATAAATCATGCTGCTATAAAGACACATGCACACGTATGTTTATTGCAGCACTATTCACAATAGCAAAGACTTGGAAGCAACCCAAATGTCCAGCAATGATAGACTGGATTAAGCAAATGTGGCACATATACACCATGGAATACTATGCAGCCATAAAAAATGAAGAATTCATGTCCTTTGTAGGGACATGGATGAAACTGGAAACTATCATTCTCAGCAAACTATCACAAGGACAAAAAAACAAACACTGCATGTTCTCACTCATAGGTGGGAATTGAACAATGAGAACACATGGACACAGGAAGGGGAACATCACACTCCAGGGACTGTTGTGGGTTGGGGTAGGGCGGAGGGAAAGCATTAGGAGATATACCTAGTGCTAAATGACGAGTTAATGGTTGCAGCACACCAGCATGGCACATGTATACATATGTAACTAACCTGCACATTGTGCACATGTACCTTAAAACTTAAAGTATAATAATAATACAATTAAAAAAAGAAATTAAAGAGTGTGTAAGCAGAAACTCAGTTGTATGTAAAAAAAACCAATTCCCCTGAGAAGAGAAAGAGCTGTAGTCCTTTAAAATTTAACTGCCTGTTTTTCTGTGGCTAGTGAGCCTTATCTCTCCTCCTTTCCCAGGCATTGTGAAGACCCTATTTCCCTAGATGTGAAGCTGCAAGGTCACAGATAAACTCAAGTCACAAAACATGTTTTTCCTTGAAAAGTAAGAAAAGATGTAATGCATGTCTCAATTGATTGAATAACTGCCTTTGTTTCTCGCTTCCGTAGTATGCTTCCCCCTAGACAGATCTCCCCCAACCCCACAAAATACTTAAAAGGTAACTTAACTCTTTGTTCAGGGCTCAGTCCTTTGGATGTTAATCCAATTAGACCAGTGCACCTAAATAATAAATATCCTCCTGAACCCCACTGGTGTCTCTGATTCCTTAAAAATCCCGCAACATTTCTGGGGGCTTCCCTGGGATTGGAGACGACAGATTTGCTGTCTCCTTTGCCTGTGAGAATACAGCCCCGGGGCCGGGGGAGACCCAGCATCCAAGACGCACTGCGGGGAAGATTCACCTGGATGGAGACCGGCTCTTCCCGCGTCCCAGTGGCCTGCCCAGCAGCGTAACGGAACTGGGGATGGGGTTGCAGGATGATACCAGCACTTCAGGAACCATGGTAAGGAGCAAGGGCCCAAGGCAAGGAAGCCCGTCGCATAAGGATGAAGGGGAGCTTGATCACCTCCTGGGGAACAGCCACTAATCCAACCCAGACGCGGCTGGGGGTGGCAGGAGTGGCTTGTCAACTTGGATGAACCTCATGTCCCCACTAATAAAGTGAAAATGGTTCACTGGATCTGGAGACAGGAACTAGTAGTGTGTCGGTGCATATGAACCTGCCCAGGACATGAGAGAGGCTCGTTTAGTCTGATGAGGTGCCCTGGGGTACGAGTGGTGTATGTATGTGTGTGAATGTGGGAGCCTAACTAGGCCCACCGGGGACATGAGAGAGGCTCATTTTGTGTGATGAGGAGTGCTGGGGCAGGGAAGGAGTATGAAAGTGTGTGAAAGAGAGACAGTCTCAGGAGAGGCCAATGCAGGGAATGAGATGGGGAGGCACAGATCCCTTAGCACGGGCTGTGTGCTCTGAGGCGACTGAGGGAGAAATCAGACCTAGGACACTGCATATGGCTGACCTTAGGACCACCTTCGCAGCTGCAGCAGGCTGTGATGGGGAAGGCACGTTCCTGCCTAAGCAGCATCCGAAACTCTTGTAATAGGACCCATTCTGGTGGACCCGAGAGTGAAAATGAGAGTGAAAGTGTGCCGCAAGGGAGGAAATGAGAGGGAAAGCATCGAAACCAACTCCTTTGGAGTGCGTGATAAAGAATTTTAAAAAGGATTTAGAGGTGATTATGGGATGAAACTGGATGCTCAAAAGTTAAGGACATACTGTGAGATAGACTGGCCTGCTTTCAATGTGGGTTGGCCCTCTGAAGGTACAATAGACATGGAAATAATTGGCCGTGTGTTTAATGTGGTCACTGGAGCTGGAGGATAACCAGGATACCCAGACCAGTTCTCCTATGTAGACTCTAGGCTCAATGTGGCACAAACTCGCCCCAAGTGGCTACAGGCCTGCCTAGAGGGATTTTACAAGGCATTAGTGGCTCAGGCAGCCCAATCAAAGGAAGAAAGAAAAAACAGAAATAGGAACAAAGAGATGGCTCAATTTATAGCTGCTACACTAGCAGAAAGTAATCCTGGATTTGCTAGAAGGCGTGGCCGAGTCAGAGGCTGAGGAAGGGGGCAGAAAAGACCGGGAGAGGAAAGCCAGTCCTGATTGGACAGCAACCAATGTGCAAGGTGCAGGCAAATGGGCTACTGGAAAGATGAGTGTTCTGAAAAGGAAAAGGATGAAAATGATGGTCAATGGTCTAACACCTGAGTGAGATGTTTGGTTGCTAGTCATGGCGCCTCAAAGGCAGATCCTGATTTGATTGGCTTAGCAGGGGCTGAGAATTTTGAGGACTGAGATAGACCGGGTTCCATCTTTTTAGGCCCGGGGAGCCTATGGTCTCTATGGAAGTAGGGGGGCGATTAATGGATTTTTTGGTCAATACTGGTGCTGATTTCTCTGTGGTAACTCACCCAGTTAGCCCCCCTACAAAGAACTGTGCTACTATCATAGGGGCTCCTGGGGCCAAAGAAAAGAGACCTTTTTGCAAATCCAGGAGTTGTGTTATCGGGGGACAAGAAGTGCAGCATGAGTTTCTATATATGCCAAGTTGTTCAATGCCCTTGTTGGGGAGAGACTTACTCCAGAAACTTCAGGCACAAATTTCCTTTACACCTAAAGGGAATATGACTCTGGAGTTTGGAAAATCTAAGGCGATGGTATTGACCCTGACTGTCCCAAGAGTTGAGGAATGGCGGCTATATGAATGTGTGCCAGAAGGCCACCAGAGTCAGGCCTACACAATATGTGGGGGATGCTTTTCAAGGTACTGGGTGTATGCACTCAGGACAACCCCCCTGGACTTGCTGCAAATAGACCCCCGGTGGTAGTAGAGTTTAACCCTCATGCTTCCCCAGTGTGAATCTGTCAATACCCACTACCCAGAGAGGCAATTGATGGAATAACAAAGCACATAAATTGGCTTTATATGCATGAGATTATAGTAAAATGCAAGTCCTCATGGAATACTCCTCTGCTGTCTGTGTGCAAACCAAGTGGGGAATACAGGCCAAGGCAGGACCTCCGGGTGGTAAACAAGGCCACTGTCACTATCCATGCCATAGTAACCAACCCATACAAAATGCTGGGACAGATTCCTGCTGATGACACTTGGTTCACATGTCTGGACTTAAAGAATGCCTTCTTTTGTTTGAGGCTTTCTCCCCAAAATCAGCCTATATTTGCCTTCCAGTGGGGGCAATCACAATATACCTGGACAAGGCTGCCACAAGGGTTTAAGAATTCTCCTACCATTTTTGAGGAGGCTTTGGCTACAGATCTTGAGGCTTTGCGCAACCTAGTGACAATTGTGTGCTATTACAATACATTGCTGATTTTGTTATTCGCAGCCCTCAGGAGGGAGGAATGCCTTCAAGGAAGAAAGAGGCTTCATCACCTGCTGTGTGAAGCTGGTTACAAAGTGTCCAAGGACAAGGCAAAACAAGTCTGTTTTCGGGAAGTTAGATATCTAGGATTCATGGTATCCCAAGGCCAGGGCAGGCTTGAAAGGGCACGCTAGGAGGCTGTATGTGCATTGCCCACCACAGTTAAAGGCAGCAGGTCAGGGAATTTCTAGGCACGGTGGGATTCTGCCGAATCTGGATTCTAAACTTCTACCCTATAACAAGGCCCTTACATGAGTCTACCAAAGGTGGGAAAAGAGAGCCCCTCTTATGGGAAAAGGAACAGGAAAAGGCCTTCAAGGATATAAAGGAAGCTCTCATCCAGGCCCTGTCACTAGGGTTGCCGGATGTAAAAAAAGCCCTTCTTTTTGTATGTGGATAAACAAAATGGCAGTCGGTGTCTTAACTCAATTGTTGGCCTCTTGGCATCGGCCAGTAGCATACTTATCGAAAAGACTGGACTTGGTGGCCTTAGGTTGGCCCCACTGCCTCAGGGCATTGGCAGCTACCACAATCCTCATGGAAGACGCCAACAAGCTAGCCCTAGGTCAGAAGTTAATAGTTCGGGTGCCACAAGCTGTAGTCACCTTAATGCAGCAAAGAGGACATTGTTGGCTGTCCAATTCTAGAAACTAAATAAAATTCAACAAAAAATGAATTGCATTTAAACCTCTGAAAACTCTTTAGTGTCCCTACTTGGTCACAATAGCCATGTAAAATTGAAATCTAATTTTCTTATTTTAATAGCTACCTCTTTTGACAGAAAGATCCAGCCTTCTAACTGATGGTTATATGTTTTATTTAAAAAATCAGTAGACTCTTTGATGTGACAATATTTAGCAAGCATATCATGATTGTGGAAACAAGATGGAAACACTAGCTTCAGGATCAGAAGACATGGGTTTATTTCTTACTGTTCCACTGTATTCATTCCATGACCTTAAATAGCTCTCCCTATTTCTACAAGTAGTTTACTTAGAACATTTAGAAGGTGTTTACAAGTTCTGTGATTATGTCCATACTAAGATATTTATTACGATAAATATTGCTATATTTTATTCTACAACTAGAAGAGGGAAAGTTGGAAGGGTTTTGAGTGATTGTGTGTCTGGAGGCCAGCAGCTGAATACAACTCCAAACTTTTCAATTTTTAATAAACAACTTATGAGATGTCCTCCTGGAATAAAAGGGATTTTAGATTGGACTAAGAAAATATAAGCTCTGCTCTTGAGTGTTTTGTTACTTTGAGAATGTGTTCTTGAGTCTATTGAAGTGCATTAAACTGCCCGTAAGAACACTGTCAGACATCTTATTTTTGTTTAATTAGCTCCTGACTTGGATCTGTCAAATGTTAAATGTACACTCCACTGGTTTCTTACCAACTGTTATCTGATCCACAGGTAATTTTTTTGCTTATTCTGGCTTACCTTTTTAGTTGGAAAAATCTGTGTTGCTTTCTCTTCAGTTTTTCCCACTCACTTTTGGATTTGTATTCTGGAAACAGACTTTTTCTTATAGCTCCAGGAACTCCTCTTTTGAAAAGTTACCTTTATGTTCAACCCTCTTTGACTGGGACCTAACTCTGTAGACTGTCCTTTCTTCACTCCATGCTACTCTACTCTGGGATCCTGGGAGCTTGACTAGACAGGTGTAGGGATTCCAAAGAACTCTATCTATCACCACTCTTAGCTATTCAAGTAGAGACTGGATGGCTACCTAATGGGCCATCATGAATGGAGTTTAATATTTTATTAGGTTGGGCATGATGACCTTGTAAGTTCATGCAAATTCTCTGATCTGGCTCTGTGCTTTCACTCCAGACTTGAAAGACAGTTCAAGACATTTTCACAGATGACAACTTAGCAAAATCCATGTTTATTATAGTTCTTTAGATAGTTTCAAACCCTCATTCAAACTTTGTCACCTACCATCATAAATATTATCATGGTACTACACTAGGTAAATGTTTCTACTAGGAGATAATTCTAACATGCTTCACAATTTGCAACAACATAACAGTTTCATGACACATTAGTTGTAAAGCAATAATTTAAGAATAAGAATCCTGGCCCAGAATTTAGAAGGCTTGGCTTCTAATTTTGCCTTGCCAGATGAGGTTCTAATTCCTTGATTTAGTTTTCCATGTTGTAAAGAAGGAATACTGATGCCTATATCTTTCCCAAGCCATAGGGATATTGTTAGATTAAATTTAAATGACTGAAATAAATGAATTTTACTACTCTGAATATAATTTAAGAATGTAATTATTTTCATCATTGTCATGTTAATCTAATTCCAGAATTAGCAGGAGAAACAACTGCTTTGAAGTACTGTAAGCTACAACTGATGAAGTGCCGCTATTATAATAGGAGTCATTACTATCACTTAATTTACATCTGAAATTAAAATTATAACAGATTAAAATTATGAAAGATAGGTTAATAAGGAAATATTATAATGAAAAATTTAAAAGTCAGTTAACCACCCAAATGTTTAATTTATACAATACCAAATATCCAGACTCCCTACTAAGTTTATTTGATACATTATCAAATGTCCAAATTTATAAGTGGTCAAGTTTATTTTTGACACAATGATTAATCTTCATGCAGACTTAAGCAAGCAGTTAAAATTAAAGATAAATGCTGCAAACATTCTGTTCTCATGTTCAGTTAAGTAACGTGAAACTAATTGGGCTGTAGGCAAGGTCTGCTAATAATAGTGAAATACCCGTGAGGTCTAATTAACCATAGCTAAGAAACTTTGCAGAATTTGCCTGCAAAGAGGATATGTGGTAGCACTTCTAAGACTCAAGAGAAAGGTACCATCCAAAGATGCCATTTATAAATCCACAAAGACCTACTGGAGCTGAGCTAGTTGGCATTTTTTATCTTACAGCTGCACTTCTTGATAAACTAACAGCTGCCTGGGGCTCTGGCCGTGGAGCTATGCCAGACAAGTTAATAGGTGAGATTTGTTTTTTAAGAAATCATATAAACATAGAACCTCAGGATTAAATGGACCTTAAAAATCACCCTTCTTCCCCACCAATCTAAGGTTTAATTCTCTTCTTCTGCATTTAAAATATCAAGAAAGATAGAATCAACTGTAATATAATCCCACCACTTTAGAAGTAAAAATATTTTAAGGTCTTTTTTTTCCCATTGACATATATTTAAATTAATTAGGATCATATTATGTATTCAAATTTGTGTCCACATTTTCCCCACTTAATATTACAACATAAAAATTTTCATTTGATATTACACAAATTTTAAGAACATTGTTAAAAACTACACATAATTCTGAGAGGCTCACTATATTTTACTTCCCCGCTTCTCTAATGTGAGACATTCCATGTAGTTTCTAATTTTCTGCAGCTTTCAATAGTTTTGTTGAACATATTAGTACTGAATGATTTTTCTTTTTTTAAAGTATTTTCTTTTAGGATTTATTCTTAGAAAAAAATATTGTGAAGTCCAAGGAAAAAGACAAGCTGACTTTAATTTATCTATGTTTATTTTTAGATCACGTTTATTATGTCTTCTCTTACTTTATGCACACCATACTCTATCAGATCTGCTTGGTCGACCTCAGAATAAGAGAAAACAATGAAGCGGCTGCACTTTGTTTTCACATATGTACACAATTTTTGTCCTGGACAATCAAAAAATAAACCCCTTTATAGACTTATTTTTCAAAAGAAAAATATTTTTCACAGAATACATTTTGTTATACTTATGTTTTCTGTATTCTTTTTTTTTTTTTTTTTTTTTTTTTGAGATGGAGTCTCGCACTCTTGCCGAGGCTGGAGTGCAATGGCGTGATCTTGGCTCGCTGCAACCTCTGCCTCCCGGGTTTAAGCGATTCTCCTGCCTCAGCCTCAACGAGCTGGGATTACAGGTGTCCGCCACCATGCCTGACTAATTTTTGTAATTTTGGTAAAGATCGGTTTTCACCATGTTGGCCAGGCTGGTCTCAAACTCTTAACCTCATGAGCCACCGGCCTCGGCTTCTCAAAGTGTTGGGATTACAGATGTGAGCCACTGTGCTCAGCCTTGTTTTCATATTTTTGGGAAATGTTTGTCTCCAAACTGGGATGATTTTTCCTTTTCTATTAATAATGCAGTTTTCTCAAAGCAAGAGTGATGTACGATGGATGTTAGGGAAGAGTGGGAGAAAAAGGCATGAGAATGTATGTAGCAGAAATAAAGTAGTAGAAGGTATTATTCATCTTGTGAGTAGGTGAATTGTTGTTATGTGGTAATAAAATGTCAGGGGAGAGCTGACAAAAGGGCTCTGTCAGGAACAAATTTATGATTTTATATGGGCAAACATACATGAATATGTAGTGTCCAATAAGTATTCCCTGAATGAGTGAATATGCAAGTCATAGATACTTACTTATAGTAACTAGTAGATTTTATATGTTAGTGTTTGTGTACGTGTGTGTATATATTTGTATAGTACTTTGTCTTATCTAGCAGTCTATTTCTGTTCTCTACATTGATTTTCTATTTTTAAAACTTTGAAAATAAGGGATTCTTTGGCTTTGACAGATTATGGACTGAAAAACTTCTCCAAGAGTTTTTTTACGTATATATACCTGTCTATAGAAGTTTTAAATTTACTGAGTTGAGACTGTGTTAAATTGTATGTAGAACATAATTTTGAAGAATAAACAATATTAATTAAAGAGCATGACTGGGCATGGTGGCTCACACCTATAATCCCAACACTTTGGGAGGCCGAGGTGGGTGGATCACCTGAGGTCAGGAGTTTGAGACCAGCCTTGGCAACGTGGTGAAACCCTGTCTCTACTAAAAATACAAAAAATTAGCTGGGCATTGTGGTGTGCACCTGTAATCCCAGATACTCAGGAGTCCGAGGCAGAAGAATTGCTTGAACTGGGGAGGTGAAGGTTGCAGTGATCCGAGATTGTACCACTGCACTCCAGCCTGGGCAACAGAGTGAGACTTTGTCAAAAAAAAGAAAATAACATTATAATTATATTGAGATCCAAATTACCCAGTAACATAGTCTTTCCTGCAGGCAATTGATACTTCCATCCTCATCCTATGATATATGCTAGAAACTATTAAACTGGAATGCATCTTCCTTTCAAAAGTTTGTTTATGTTCTCATAAGGTAGACAGCATGGATAAACAGAGTGGGAGGATAAGAGTACTTAAATTCCTAGGTTTATGGGCTGGGGAAACACATGCATCCTTACACATGGAGATGTAGGAAGGGAAGATGTAGGGGAATTCACCAAGCATGTATTCATTGCCTGGTAGGTGCCAGGCACTGAAAATACTCTGTCAACCACTGCATAGTTACAGTGAGGAAAGCAACATGAATAGCATATTTATTATGGTGGGTGCTAGGGAAAGTGTGTCTCTGACAACTTATGTTTCCCTAATCTGCCTGCTTACAATCGATATTTCTTGACCATGTCTTTCTCCCAGTTAGAGCTGTGGGTTCAAATGTAAATTCTGTGGGAAGAGAGAATAATCCTTACCTGTGTACAGCACTTTATAGTTTACAAAATCAATCTCACAACTACAGTTTGTAAACTCACAGATGTAGAGGAAGGCTCAAAAGCATGGGACACTGTAGTAACTTAGCAAAGTCAAATGGAGTTGGAACAAGAGGAAGAATCCAGATCTCATGTATATAGTCAAGTATGTTCTCAGCAAATTACACAGAAACTGTTGCCTTATATATGTTTTACAGGTGATAATACTAGATGTATTTACGTGAAGAGACTGAAAGCATCATGGAGGAAGTGGAAATGAATAATTTAAATAATTAATGGGGTGAGGGAAGCCAAAGACATGCTCCACAGTTAACTACCCTATCTCTATACTGTGAAATTCAGACTGTAATCCTTTAATGATTAATAATAATCTTTCTTTATCTATCTCTTGTAGGTAATTCAGACCCTAATACCTGGAAGGTATTACTCTCTGAATGGATCACCACATGCCTCCCAACAATGTGACTGAATTCATTCTCTTGGGGCTCACACAGAATCCACACTTGCAGAAAATACTCTTTATTGTATTTTTATTTATTTTTCTATTTACCATGCTGGCCAATCTGTTCATTGTCATCACCATCTCCTGTAGCCCCACACTTTCATCACCCATGTACTTCTTTCTCACTTACTTATCCTTTATAGATGCCTCCTACACCTCTGTCACAACCCCCAAAATGATCACCGACCTGCTCTACCAGAGGAGAACTATTTCCTTGGCTGGCTGCCTGACTCAGCTCTTTGTGGAGCACTTGCTGGGAGGCTCAGAGATCATCCTCCTTATTGTCATGGCCTATGACCGCTACGTGGCCATCTGCAAGCCCCTGCACTACACAACCATTATGCAACAAGGGATCTGCCACCTTCTGGTGGTGATAGCCTGGATTGGAGGCATCCTGCATGCCACTGTGCAGATTCTTTTCATGACCGACTTGCCCTTCTGTGGTCCCCAATGTCATTGACCACTTTATGTGTGATCTCTTCCCATTGTTGAAACTTGCCTGCAGAGACACCTACAGACTTGGGATGCTGGTGGCAGCCAACAGTGGAGCCATGTGCTTGCTCATCTTTTCCCTGCTCGTCATCTCCTACATAGTCATCCTGAGCTCCCTGAAATCCTATAGCTCTGAAGGACAGCACAAAGCCCTCTCCACCTGTGGCTCCCACTTTACTGTCGTTGTACTCTTTTTTGTGCCTTGCATATTCACCTACATGCATCCTGTGGTCACCTACTCTGTGGACAAGTTGGTGACTGTGTTCTTTGCAATCCTCACTCCCATGTTAAATCCTATAATTTACACTGTGAGAAACACAGAGGTAAAAAATGCCGTGAGGAGTTTGTTGAGGAAAAGAGTAACAGTTTATGCATAATGGCAAGAAAGTGATGATATATATAAACATGGAGGATTATATCTGTGGTAAATTGTGCAAGAGAATTCACAAATTTTACAGATCATTGACAAAAACTAAACAAACAAGCAAACAATTTAAAAAGGTCCCCAGAAACTAACATTTATTGAGTACTTAGTATTGGCTAGGTCTTTTTGCTAGGTATTTTGATAGATTTTAACATACTTTACCAACATTTTATGTTCATGTGCATTGATTCTGGATATGCAATGGAAAGAACAACCATAAATCCCTAGCTTGATAATTCTAGAGTATGTTTTTTTCTAGTCTCACTGTTACTTTGCTAAATTCTTCATACATATGTTACATACATGAAGTTGACTTTTGAGTAGAATCTTGATCTCAGAACTTTTAAAATTTTGCTTGGCTCATGGTAAAGCAAAAAAGAGGCTAGAAATCCCTAGACATGTGTAGACGGAGGGTGACAATTGAGCGAAAGAACCACTGGTGATTTACTTCCTTTGTTCATTTGTTCCTTCCCTCCCTTTCTCTCTTTCTTTCTTTCTTTTCTTTCTTTCTCTTTCCTTCTTTCTTTCTCTTTCTTTCTTTCTTTCTTTCTTTTTTCTTTCTTTCTTTCTTTTCTTCCTTCATTTCTTCCTTTCTTTTCTTTTCCTTTCTTTCTTTCTTTCTTCTTTTTCTTTCTTTTCTTTCTTCTTTCTCTTTCTTTCTTCTTTCTTTCTTGTCTTTCTTTTTTCTTCTTTCTTTCTTTCTTTTTTTTTTTAAGATTTTAACCACAGCATTTTTATTAGTTTCAACTTGGAAACAATTTAAATGTCTAATAATGGATTTAGTACTATAGTAATCTACATGATAAAATGTTATCCCTTTCTTTCTTCTTTCTTTCTCTTGTTCTTTCCCTTCTTCCTCTCTTTTCTTTTTATTTTTTCTTTCTTTCTTTCTTTTTCTTTCTCTCTTTCTTTCTTCTTTCTTTCTCTCTCTCTCTTTCTTCTCTCTCTTTCTGTCTTTCTTTCTTCCTTTCCCTCCCTCCCTCTTTGTCTCTCTCTCTCCCTCCCTTCTTTTCTTCCTTCCTCCCTTTCTTTCTTTCCTCCTTTCTTTCTTTCCTCTCCCTTCCCTTCCCTTTCCCTCCCCTCCCCTCCCCTCTTCTCCCCTCCCCTCCCCTTCCTTCCTGCTTCTTTCTTCTCTCTCACTTTCTCATCTTCAATCTACTGAAAGCAAAGAGATACCCACAAAAAAGACAGACATAATTAATAACCTATCTTAAAATTGTTTTCCTCAGTGTGAAAAATAAGCTGAGATTGCACTTAACTTGTTCTGATTTTCTTAAATCTCCTCATAGCTCACAGTTTTTCTTGAATATAAAGGACTTTGTTTTGTTTTCCTCACCAAGATTTGAGAAGCAATTTGAAGCAGGAAGATTAAACATTCTTTTATTTATTCTCAACAAAAGGCATATGCTAAGTTTCCAAAGTTATTGCTCATTAAATATGCTATATATATTTATATTCAATGCATGTCTTATTATTTATCAAATGCATTCACTTTAGTTAAGTGACTTAAACCATACACTAAATTGCCAGTTTCAAGATTACTGCCCCCATTTTATAGAGAAGCAAATTAAAGCTAGGACAGGTACACAAATTTGCTTGTTTCAGATCACACATCTGAGTTTCAGCAACAAAATTTGAATCTAGGTCTTCCAAATCTCAGTCGTACTTCAAATAAAACAGTTGTTCATGGTAAGTTTATGTCCATAGATAAGAAATTTATATGTTTCACTTTGTCCTTCAAGAAAGATGATGCCAAATTTGTTGTAGCCTTTTATCACATGTAGTATATATTACTACTGAAATATATTTCATGAGTTATGTTCCTATTTATGCATGGAAAATACCAGATCATTCTTTGTTACTGTAAAACCTTTCATGAATCAAAGTTTCTCTGACTGTAACACAGTTACTTTGCACAAATGTTATCTTTCTCAAGCTCACTGGTCATCTTGACCTATTTCTTCCATAATTTGAGCCCACAGTAATGCCAGATCATGGAATTTCTGTTCTTTTGGGTGGGGGGATGACTGTGTATTTTAGCTTATGCATGAATGTTTTAAATTCATGAGAAATAAAACTTTTTTTCATAAAACATAGGCCCAAAAGATGATATAATAAGCACTTAATCTAATAAAAATAATTAAATTTGCAATTGCTGGTGAGATTTAAATATTTCAACAGAATCTAGATGAAATAATTTGTGGTTCACTTTGTATCATGATTGTTAGATAGTGGCTGAGTGTAAGCCAGGGATAGGGATTGGAAAAGTGTTGAGAAAATGTTATTTCTATTCTAACACAAAAAGAAAGGTTTGAAGATGGAAACTAGGTCCAATGATTGTGTCTTAGGGGCTACACCAAGTGCTCAGTGGTGGGGTGAGAAGATTAGTGAGACACAAATTATAAATTGTCAACAACAAACTTGGAAGGTATAAAACTAAAAGAAGAAATGTAAATAAACCTGGCATTCTCAGTGGATGAAGTCCTGCTGGTTTGTAAAGAATTTTGAAGAATGTTAAGATATCCCTTTGCACCCATCATCAAGAGTCTCATGAGGACCAACTTCAATCTGATTATTTCTGGTTCTTAAAAATAAAATGATCTAAAAACAAGTATGTACGTTTCCCCCTATAAATTAAACAGAAAAATAATATTTGGTTCTCATGTATAAGGATGCTTTGGTTTAATCTAAACATTCAATTCAGTAAAAATACTATGCATTATTTAGGTAGGGGGGGTGAGCTTACTATTGTTAAGACCAACTATGAAGCATACGTATTGTTAGGTTTTTTACATACTTTGCCACCTGCCATGATTGGAAGCTTCCTGAGACCACCCCCCTCCCCCAGAAGCAGAAGCTGCTATGCTTCCTGTACAGCCTTCAGAAATGTGAGCCAAGTAAGTCTCTTTTCTTTATAAATTACCCAGTCTCAGGTGTTTCTTCACAGTAGTGTGAGAATGGACTAATACTGATAAAATAAAATACATAAATTGGTAGATAGTATATCTGTGGTGTTAAAATTTCAGAGGCAGGGTCATTAGGAGAACAAAACATCTAAAAAGCCTCCTCAGAAGGAAAATAAGGAAGAAAAAAAGTTGAAGATCATTACTTTTATCCATGTCTACATGGTTAGGTAAGAACACAGAGTAACTTTGGTGCACTGAAAAGATAATTCAAGTGCAGAGGTTGGCCCATCACCTGTGAGCTCAGATCCAATTAAATTGAGAGACTCTCCCTTCGCAGGATACTTCTAGGGTATTCAATCAAATATGTTAGTGAACCAGTTGTAACCTGTGAAATATATTGCAAACGTAGAATAATAATTTTATTACTGTTGAAGGTTGAAAAAGAATGAAGGCCATAGGCCATACATGGTGGGGCTTACATGTGTAATTCCAGCACTTTGGGAGGCCAAGGTGAGTAGATCACTTGAACGCAAGAGTTTTAAACCAGCCTGGCAACATGGTAAAACCCTGTCCCTACTAAAAACACAAAAATTAGCCGGGCATGGTGGTGTCTGCCTGTAGTCCCAGCTACTCTGAAGTCTGAGGCAGGAGGATCGCTTGAGCTTCAAGAGGTCGAGGCTTCAGTGAGTCATGATCCTGCCACTGTGCTTCAGCCTGGGTGACAGAGTGGGACTCTGCCTCAAAAAAGAAAAACAAAAAGAATGAAGGCTATAACTCCAAATATTTTAAAAATTAAAGCCATATTATTTAAGAATACTAACTGTTGTGGAGTGAGAAGGAATTTAGTCCATTTTTTTTTTTTTCTGGCTGAGGTTCATTTTTAAATTCTTAATAATGGCAGCTGTCCTGCAGTTAGATGTAACACAATTTCAAGAAAAGTCTGAAAACATGAAGAGAGTATCAGACTAGGTATTAAAAAATTCTGTCCTGATACTTGCTAGGTGGCCTAGAGAAGTAGTACTCCCGTTTCTTCATCTGTATTGTCAGGCAGAAGGGTAACTGTGTGGCCATTCTGTTACTGAAGGACAAAATGTAGCTGAGGAGCAAATCATTGAATGGGGAATACCGTGATCTAGTTTTGTGCTTGTGAAGCATCAGCTTGGCTTGGCTCCAGTGAAGCTCCCCAACGGGAAAAACTCAATCACTGCAGGGACGAATGTACTGTGATTAGCTTCTCAGTCAGTAGCGACACAGCCTCAAAGTGAAACAGTTGGAATGAGGCAAGTACGCACATTGTGGAATTCTGTGCTATTTCAAAGTGGCACTCTGCCCTCTTGTAGCCCAGGCCCAGTATCCAAAGGTGGACATCTTATTAATAATGTTTCTTCTGAAATGTGGATTGGAAGCTGTTTAAAATTAAGCTCAAAGTGCAGCCAAATGGCAAGCGTAGTCCCATGAATGATTTTGTAGACAGCTTAGCTGGTTACCTTTGTTGGTAACTTTTCCTATTCAGATAAAATTTAAGCTTCTCTGCCAACCACAAGAGTGGTTTTTCATTTAAGTTCTTGGACACTTAAAACAACTATTTTAAATATTTCTTTTTTTTTTTTTCTTTTTTTTTATTATCATACTTTAAGTTTTAGGGTACATGTGCACATTGTACAGGTTAGTTACATATGTACATATGTGCCATGCTGGTGCGCTGCACCCACTAACTCGTCATCTAGCATTAGGTATATCTCCCAATGCTATCCCTCCCCCCTCCCTCAACCCCACAACAGTCCCCAGAGTGTGATGTTCCCCTTCCTGTGTCCATGTGATCTCATTGTTCAATTCCCACCTATGAGTGAGAATATGCTGTGTTTGGTTTTTTGTTCTTGCAATAGTTTACTGAGAATGATGATTTCCAATTTCATCCATGTCCCTACAGAGGACATGAACTCATCAATTTTTATGGCTGCATAGTATTCCATGGTGTATATACGCCACATTTTCTTAATCCAGTCTATCATTGTTGGACATTTGGGTTGGTTCCAAGTCTTGGCTATTGTGAATAATGCCGCAATAAACATACATGTGCATGTGTCTTTATAGCAGCATGATTTATAGTCCTTTGGGTATATACCCAGTAATGGGATGGCTGGGTCAAATGGTATTTCTAGTTCTAGATCCCTGAGGAATCGCCACACTGACTTCCACAAGGGTTGAACTAGTTTACAGTCCCACCAACAGTGTAAAAGTGTTCCTATTTCTCCACATCCTCTCCAGCACCTGTTGTTTCCTGAATTTTTAATGATTGCCATTCTTACTGGTGTGAGATGGTATCTCATTGTGGTTTTGATTTGCATTTCTCTGATGGCCAGTGATATTAGCATTTTTTCATGTATTTTTTGGCTGCATAAATGTCTTCTTTTGAGAAGTGTCTGTTCATGTCCTTTGCCCACTTTTTGATGGGGTTGTTTGTTTTTTTCTTGTAAATTTGTTTGAGTTCATTGTAGATTCTGGATATTAGCCCTTTGTCAGATGAGTAGGTTGCGGAAATTTTCTCCCATTTTGTAGGTTGGCTGTTCACTCTGATGGTAGTTTCTTTTGCTGTGCAGAAGCTCTTTAGTTTAATCAGATCCCATTTGTCAATTTTGTCTTTTGTTGCCATTGCTTTTGGTGTTTTAGACATGAAGTCCTTGCCCATGTCTATGTCCTGAATGGTAATGCCCAGGTTTTCTTCTAGTGTTTTTATGGTTTTAGGTCTAACGTATAAGTCTTTAATCCATCTTGAATTGATTTTTGTATAAGGTGTAAGGAAGGGATCCAGTTTCAGCTTTCTACATATGGCTAGCCAGTTTTCCCAGCACCATTTATTAAATAGGGAATCCTCTCCCCATTGCTTTTCTCAGGTTTGTCAAAGATCAGATAGTTGTAGGTATGTGGCGTTATTTCTGAGGGCTCTGTTCTGTTCCATTGATCTATATCTCTGTTTAGTACCAGTACTATGCTGTTTGGTTACTGTAGCCTTGTATTATAGTTTGAAGTCAGGTAGTGTGATGCCTCCAGCTTTGTTCTTTTGGCTTAGGATTGACTTGGCGATGCAGGCTCTTTTTTGGTTCCATATGAACTTTAAAGTAGTTTTTTCCAATTGTGTAAAGAAAGGCATTGGTAGCTTGATGGGGATGGCATTGAATCTGTAAATTACCTTGAGCAGTATGGCCATTTTCATATTGATTCCTCCTACCCATGAGCATGGAATGTTCTTCCATTTGTTTGTATCCTCTTTTCTTTCATTGAGCAGTGGTTTGTAGTTCTCCTTGAAGAGGTCCTTCACATCCATTGTAAGTTGGATTTCTCTTGGAAGCAATTGTGAATGGGAGTTCACTCATGATTTGGCTGTCTGTTTGTCTGTTGTTGGCGTATAGGAATGCTTGTGATTTTTGCACATTGATTTTATATCCTGAGATTTTGCTGAAGTTGCTTATCAGCTTAAGGAGATTTTGGGCTGAGACAATGGGGTTCTCTAGATATACAATCATGTCATCTGCAAACAGGGACAATTTGACTTCCTCTTTTCCTAATTGAATACCCTTTATTTCCTTCTCCCGCCTAATTGCCCTGGCCAGAACTTCCAACACTATGTTGAATAGGAGTGGTGAGAGAGGGCATCCCTGTCTTGTGCCAGTTTTCAAAGGGAATGCTTCCAGTTTTTGCCCATTCAGTATGATATTGGCTGTGGGTTTGTCATAGATAGTTCTTATTATTTTGAAGTACGTCCCATCAATACCTAATTTATTGAGAGTTTTTAGCATGAAAGGTTGTTGAATTTTGTCAAAGGCCTTTTCTGCATCTATTGAGATAATCATGTAGTTTTTGTCTTTTGCTCTGTTTATATGCTGGATCACATTTATTGATTTTCGTATATTGAACCAGCCTTGCATCCCAGGGATGAAGCCCACTTGATCATGGTGGATAAGCTTTTTGATGTGCTGCTGGATTCGTTTTGCCAGTATTTTATTGAGGATTGTTGCATCAATGTTCATCAAGGATAGTGGTCTAAAATTCTCTTTTTTGGTTTTGTCTCTGCCAGGCTTTGGTATCACAATGATGCTGGCCTCATAAAATGAGTTAGGGAGGATTCCCTCTTTTTCTATTGATTGGAATACTTTCAGAAGGAATGGTACCAGCTCCTCCTTGGACCTCTGGTAGAATTCGGCTGTGAATCCATCTGGTCCTGGACTCTTTTTGGTTGGTAAGCTATTGATTATTGCCACAATTTCAGATCCTGTTATTGGTCTATGCAGAGATTCAACTTCTTCCTGGTTTAGTCTTGGGAGGGTGTACGTGTCAAGGAATTTATCCATTTCCTCTAGATTTTCTAGTTTATTTGCGTAGAGGTGTTTGTAGTATTCTCTGATGGTAGTTTGTATTTCTGTGGGATCAGTGGTCATATCCCCTTTATCATTTTTTATTGTGTCTATTTGATTCTTCTCTCTTTTTTTCTTTATTATTCTTGCTAGCGGTCTATCAATTTTGTTGATCCTTTCAAAAAACCAGCTCCTGGATTCATTAATTTTTTGAAGGGTTTTTGTGTCTCTATTCCCTTCAGTTCTACTCTGATTTTAGTTATTTCTTGCCTTCTGCTAGCTTTTGAATGTGTTTGCTCTTGCTTTTCTAGTTCTTTTAATTGTGATGTTAGGGTGTCAATTTTGGATCTTTCCTGCTTTCTCTTGTGGGCATTTAGTGCTATAAATTTCCATCTACACACTGCTTTGAATGCATCCCAGAGATTCTGCTATGTTGTGTCTTTGTTCTCGTTGGTTTCAAAGAACATCTTTATTTCTGCCTTCATTTCGCTATGTACCCAGTAGTCATTCAGGAGCAGGTTGTTCAGTTTCCATGTAGTTGAGCAGTTTTGAGTGAGATTCTTAATCCTGAGTTCTAGTTTGATTGCACTGTGGTCTGAGAGATAGTTTGTTATAATTTCTGTTCTTTTACATTTGCTGAGGAGAGCTTTACTTCCAAGTATGTGGTCAATTTTGGAATAGGTGTAGTGTGGTGCTGAAAAAAATGTATATTCTATTGATTTGGGGTGGAGAGTTCTGTAGATGTCTATTAGGTCCACTTGGTGCAGAGCTGAGTTCAATTCCTGGGTATCCTTGTTGACTTTCTGTCTCGTTGATCTGTCTAATGTTGACAGTGGGGTGTTAAAATCTCCCATTATTATTGTGTGGGAGTCTAAGTCTCTTTGTAGGTCACTCAGGACTGGCTTTATGAATCTGGGTGCTCCTGTATTGGGTGCATATATATTTAGGATAGTTAGCTCTTCTTGTTGAATTGATCCCTTTACCATTATGTAATGGCCTTCTTTGTCTCTTTTGATCTTTGTTGGTTTAAAGTCTGTTTTATCAGAGACTAGGATTGCAACCTCTGCCTTTTTTTGTTTTGCATTGGCTTGGTAGATCTTCCTCCATCCATTTATTTTGAGCCTATGGGTGTCTCTGCATATGAGATGGGTTTCCTGAATACAGCACACTGGTGAGTCTTGACTCTTTATCCAATTTGCCAGTCTGTGGCTTTTAATTGGAGCATTTAGTCCATTTACATTTAAAGTTAATAGTGTTATGTGTGAATTGGATCCTGTCATTATGATGTTAGCTGGTTATTTTGCTCGTTAGTTGATGCAGTTTCTTCCTAGTCTCGATGGTCTTTACATTTTGGCATGATTTTGCAGCGGCTGGTACCAGTTGTTCCTTTCCATGTTTAGTGCTTCCTTCAGGAGATCTTTTAGGGCAGGCCTGGTGGTGACAAAATCTCTCAGCATTTGCTTGTCTGTAAAAGATTTTATTTCTCCTTCACTTATGAAGCTTAGTTTGGCTGGATATGAAATTCTGGGTTGAAAATTCTTTTCTTTAAGAATGTTGAATATTGGCCCCCACTCTCTTCTGGCTTGTAGGGTTTCTGCTGAGAGATCCACTGTTAGTTTGATGGGCTTCCCTTTGTGGGTAACCCGACCTTTCTCTCTGGCTGCCCTTAACATTTTTTCCTTCATTTCCACTTTGGTGAATCTGTCAATTATGTGTCTTGGAGTTGCTCTTCTCGAGGAGTATCTTTGTGGCATTCTCTGTATTTCCTGAATCTGAACGTTGGCCTGCCTTGCTAGATTGGGGAAGTTCTCCTGGATAATATCCTGCAGAGTGTTTTCTAACTTGGTTCCATTCTCCACATCACTTTCAGGTACACCAATCAGACATAGATTTGGTCTTTTCACATAGTCCCATATTTCTTAGAGGCTTTGCTCATTTCTTTTTATTCTTTTTTCTCTAAACTTCTCTTCCACTTCATTTCATTCATTTCATCTTCCATTGCTGATACCCTTTCTTCCAGTTGATCGCATTGGCTGCTGAGGCTTCTGCATTCCTCACGTAGTTCTCGTGCCTTGGTTTTCAGCTCCATCAGCTCCTTTAAGCACTTCTCTTCATTGGTTATTCTAGTTATACATTCTTCTAAATTTTTTTCAAAGTTTTCAACTTCTTTGCCTTTGGTTTGAATGTCCTCCCATAGCTCAGAGTAATTTGATCGTCTGAAGCTTTCTTCTCTCAGCTCGTCAAAGTCATTCTCCATCCAGCTTTGTTCCATTGCTGGTGAGGAGCTGCGTTCCTTTGGAGGAGGAGAGGCGCTCTGCTTTTTAGAGTTTCCAGTTTTTCTGTTCTGTTTTTTCCCCATCTTTGTGGTTTTATCTACTTTTGGTTTTTGATGATGGTGATGCACAGATAGGTTTTTGGTGTGGATGTCCTTTCTGTTTGTTAGTTTTCCTTCTAACAGACAGGACTCTCAGCTGCAGGTCTGTTGGAGTAACCTGCAGTGTGAGATGTCAGTGTGCCCCTGCTGGGGGGTGCCTCCCAGTTAGGCTGCTCAGGGGTCAGTGTCCCACTTGAGGAGGCAGTCTGTCCGTTCTCAGATCTCCAGCTGAGTGCTGGGAGAACCACTGCTCTCTTCAAAGCTGTCAGACAGGGACATTTAACTCTGCAGAGGTTACTGCTGTCTTTTTGTTTGTCTGTGCCCTGCCCCCAGAAGTGGAGCCTACAGAGGCAAGCAGGCCTCCTTGAGCTGTTGTGGGCTCCACCCAGTTCGAGGTTCCTGGCTGCTTTGTTTACCTAAGCAAGGCTAGGCAATGGTGGGCGCCCCTCCCCCAGCCTCGCTGCTGCCTTGCAGTTTGATCTCAGACTGCTGTGCTAGCAATCAGTGAGACTCCTTGGGTGTAGGGCCCTCTGAGCCAGGTGCGGGATATAATCTCGTAGTGCGCCGTTTTTTAAGCCAGTCTGAAAAGCGCAGTATTCGGGTGGGAGTGACCCGATTTTCCAGGTGCCATCCGTCACCCCTTTCTTTGATTAGAAAAGGGAACTCCCTGACCCCTTGTGCTTCCTGAGTGAGGCAATGCCTCACCCTGCTTCAGCTCGTGCACGGTGTGTGCACCCACTGACCTGCACCCACTGTCTGGCACTCCCTAGTGAGATGAACCAGGTACCTCAGATGGAAATGCAGAAATCACCCGTCTTCTGCTTCGCTCAGGCTGGGAGCTGTAGACTGGAGCTGTTCCTATTCGGCCATCTTGGCTCCTGAAATATTTCTTTAAAATCACTAGAAACTCTAGCCCTATCAACTTTCCATTAAATGATGAGATGATTTATTTTTTGGGCGGTCCTTACTTACTTTGACCCTCTAATGTGTTGTGATTCCTAGCTCTTCTGTAGAAGAAAGTTCACGTGAGTACATACTGGATGGGGCCAGACTTTCAGTCCCACTGACATGATCTTAAGAAAGTTTACTTGCATAATCTCTGCCTTCTACTTAGCGGGATCATCAGGTAACTGGCTTTTGGGAGTCACAGAGATGACACCAAACACCAAATGAACTTTGGTGATGACCTTAAATTTTTATTCGAGCATTAAACATGTTCCTATTAATTTGAGCTACTATTTTGAAACTGTTAAAATAATTGAATCACCTAATTGCATGCACTATCATATTATGCTTAAAATGCCCATTAATTTCCTTGTTTTATTTGTATATGTAAATTCAGATCTCAGAATGGAGAGACTTTATCATCAGTTTCTAGCTTGATTTGCTTTAATCTTTTTGACAAGCTATCAAAATTAAGTATCTACCTTTTGGCCTCTATCCAGATAATTAAGATTAGAAAATAAAATAGTGTATTAATATTCTAGAAATGTGCTCTTAGGAAAAGGAGGAACAGTTATAGCTGGTATGCCTAGTATGGTTTTCAGAGAGATCTTCTGTTTCTCTTCTTTCATTTGACTCTCTCTCTGTGTATATATATTATATATCCATTTCTGCTTTCCTCTTGTTCCAGTTTCATTTAATCTTTATTTTTCTACTAATACGTTTTAAGAAAGAAATTAGGTTGTGTCTATTTGAATTAGTTAATACTTCAAATTCAGGTTTTCATTTTTAATGAAAAGATGAATTGTGTTGTAAAAATGTATTTATCAATATAAAACCATGCACATTTATTTGTGAGCAGCCCTGCCCACAGACGTGATGTTGGTTCTGAGGATGATGCTGGTGATTTGCTTGGGAATGGGATGGTGAAGTCAAGAAAGCTTGTTTAGGGACTAAGCCCTCTTCCTCTGGAAGCATTCCAAGAAAACATCAACATTTTAATCTACACTGTTATAGTAATTTTCATCCTAGAAAAGTGCTATGAAGATAATTCTCCCTCCACTCATCTCTCAAGGAAAGAAAAGTGAATTAAGAAAATTAATAATGGTGCATATGTTTAGGGTAGATATCTTCCAAGGAACACAAGGTCACAGATTGCTAGTTAAAAATGATGACCCAGAGTCACTCACTAAACACACCACTGCCACCTTTTTACCATTCAAGATTTTACTGAAGAAATTATTTAGCCCCCATAAGGAATTCAGACACAAGATAGACATACGAGCTATAAGGTGAGTTTCCTGGATTCACATGACTATCACTTCCAAACCGTATCGCTGTGAGCAAATTAATTATTTTGCTTTTTTGAAGCCATAAAATGTGTCACGTCATAGTCAGATGTGAAGACTAAACATGTAAACAGCTATAAAATATTAGCAAAATGTTTGGTAGGTAGGAAGTGCTAACTAATGTATTAATTATCAGTAGTTCAATCTGGATATCTGTGTATAAATGATGTATCTATATTTAGATATTACACTGATTTTAATTTAGCTTTATTTGGAGACCAAAAATAAGTTTATTGTTTATATCATCAATTAAATTCTATGATTGAATAATTGAATGAATGCAAATGAAAACAACATATTATTTTTCATTTTATTATTTGGTGAATATAACCAAGATTGATAATATTTAGTGTGAGTAAGGCTATGAGGAAGATTACTCTTTAATATAATATTAATGGTGATAAAATCTAGTATAGGATTTCGAGAGTAACATTATAGAATCTATAAATGTGAAGCATATAAATTCATTTTGTCTTTGTGATGACATTTCTAGGAATTTCTCCAACTGGAATATTCAAATCAGTAAGTAAAGATGTCTGTAAAGTGTTGTTCATTGCAACATTATGTGAAAGGTGGGATATTATAAACAACATAATGTCAAGTAAAAATGCATTGATTAAAAGAATTGTGATGCAACTATAAAATGAAATAATATTAAGCAATTTAAGAAAAGGATAATTCATAAATACTGTCATTAGATAATGCCCACCCATGCAAACAGATTAAAATTTCTAGCATATTAATATATTTTATATATTTTTATATATAAATGACAGCACTTATACAATATACCTACATACAAATGACCTTTTGAAGAACATGAACTAAACTTCTTTTATTTTAAAATTTTTAATTAACAAAAAACAATTGTCTATGTTTATGGAGTACAATATAATGTTTGGATATATCCATACATTGTGGAACGATTAAATGAAGTTACTTATATCCATCACTAGAGAAGCAAGTGAGTCCTTGGGATTGGAAGTATCCTTTGACTTTAACCTTTCCATTACTTTGTATAAAATATTTTTCAAGAGCCATTCTTTGCCTTCATAATTTATAAGAATACCAGTGAAAAACACTTGTTTTATTTAAATAATTTTACTTTTGGTTAGAACTGCAGGTGTTTTAGGAAATGGTTTTGGAAGACTTGTCTTTTAAAGTCAATTCAAAAACTTACATTCTGCTGCGTGTTGGGAAATCATTAGGCTGATATTCTGCTAGCCAATAGAGTATTTAATAGAAGTATATCTAAACACATGTTTCTTGAAGATATATTCGAAGGCAGGAAATTTATTTTATTTTATTTTACTTTAAGTTTTGGTATACATGTGTAGAACGTGCAGGTTTGTTACATAGGTATACATGTGCCATGGTGGTTTGCTGCACCTGTCAACCCATCATCTAGGTTTTAAGCCCCGGATGCATTAGGTATTTGTCCTAATGCTCTCCCTCCCATTGCTCCTCACCCCCTGACAGTCCCCAGTGTGTGATGTTCCCCTCCCTGTGTCTATGTGTTCTCATTGTTCAACTACCACTTATGAGTAAGAACATGTGGTGTTTGGTTTTCTATTCCTGTGTTAGTTTTCTGAGAATGATGGTTTCCAGCTTCATCCATGTCCCTGCAAAAGACATGAACTCATCCTTTTTTATGGCTTCATAGTTTTCCTGGGTATGTATCTGCCACATTTTCTTTTTCCAGTCTATCATTGATGCACATTTAGGTTGGTTCCATGTCTTTGTTATTGTAAATAATTCTTCAATAAACATATGTGTGCATGTGTCTTTATAGTAGAATGATTTATAATCCTTTGGGTATATACCCAGTAATGAGATTGCTGGGTTAAATAAATGGTATTGCTGGTTCTAGATCCTTTAGGAATCACTATACTGTCTTCCACAATGGTTGAACTAATTCACACTTCCACCAACAGTGTAAAAGCATTTCTGTTCTCTACATCTTCACCAGCATCTGTTGTTTCATGACTTTTTAATGATTGACATTCTAACTGGCTTGAGATGGTATCTCATTGTGGTTTTGATTTGCATTTCTCTAATGCACAGGGATGATGAGCTTTTTTTATATGGTTTTTGGCCGCATAAATGTCTTCTTTTGAGAAGTGTTTGTTCATATTCTTCACCCACTTTTTGAGGGAGCTGTTTGTTTATTTCTTGTAAATTTGTTTAAGTTCCTTGTAGATTCTGGATATTAGACCTTTGTCAGATGGATAGATTGAAAAAATTTTCTCCCATTCTGTAGGTTGCCTGTTCACTCAGATGATAGATTCTTTTGCTGTGCAGAGGCTTTTTAGTTTAATTAGATCCCATCTGTCAATTTTGGCTTCTGTTGCCATTGCTTTTGATGTTTTATTCATGAAATATAGTCATTTCCCATACCTATATCCTGAATGGTATTGCCTAGGTTTTCTTCTAGGGTTTTTATGGTTTTAGGTTTTACATTTCAGTCTTTAATCCATCTTGAGTTAGTTTTTTTTATAAGGTGTAAGAAAGGAGTACAGTTTCAGTTTTCTGCATATGGCTAACCAGTTTTCCCAGCACCATATATTAAATAGGGAAACATTTCCCCATTGCTAGTTTTTGTCAGGTTTGTCGAAGATCAGGTGGCTGCAGATGTGTGGCGTTATTTCTGAGGACTCTGTTCTATTCCATTGACCTATATATGTATTTTGGTAACAGTACCATGCTGTTTTGGTTACTGTAGGCTTGTAGTATAGCTTCAAGACAGGTAGTGTGATGCCTCCAGCTTTGCTCTTTTTGCTTAGGATTGTCTTAGGTATGTGGGTTCTATTTGTTTCCATATAAAATTTAAAGTAGTTTTTGTTCTAATTCTGTGAAGAAAGTCAATGGTACTTGATGGAATAGCATTGAATCTATAAATTTTGGGGGGCAGTATGACCATTTTCATGATATTGATTCTTGCTATCCATGATCATGGAATTTTGTTTCCATTTGTTCGTGTCCCCTCTTATTTCCTTGAGCAGTGGTTTGTAGTTCTCCTTGAAGAAGTCCTTCACATCCTTTGAAGTTGTATTCCTAGATATTTTATTCTTTTTGTAGCAATTGTGAATGAGAACATACTCATATTTTTCGCTCTGCTTGTCTATTATTGGTGTATAGGAATGCTTGCAATTTTTCACATTGATTTTGTATCCTGAGACTTTGCTTAAGTTGCTTATTAGTTTAAGGAGTTTTTGGGCTGAGATAAATGGGTTTTCTAAATATACAGTCATGTCATCTGCAAACAGAGATGATTTGAATTCCTCTGTTCCTATTTGAATACTCTTTATTTCTTTCTCTTGCCCGATTGCGCTGGCCAGAACTTCCAAGGGATTTTTTTTTTTATTTTTTATTTTATTTTATTATTATTATACTTCAAGTTTTAGGGTACATGTGCACAATGTCCAGGTTTGTTACATATGTACACATGTGCCACATTGGTGTGCTGCACCCATTAACTTGTCATTTAGCATTAGAAATCTCCTAATGCTATCCCTCTCCCCTCTCCCCACCCCACAACAGTCCCTGGCATGTGATATTCCCCTTCCTCTGTTCATGTGTTCTCATTCTTCAATTCCCACCTATGAGTGAGAACATGTGGTGTTTGGTTTTTTGTCCCTGAGATAGTTTGATGAGAATGATGGTTTCCAGCTTCATCTATGTCCCTAAAAAGGACATGAACTCATCATTTTTTATGGCTTCATAGTATTCCATGGTGTATATGTGCCACATTTTCTTAATCCAGTCTATCATTGTTGGACATTTGGGTTGGTTCCAAATCTTTGCTATTGTGAATAGTGCCACAATAAACACATGTATGCATGTGTCTTTATAGCAGCATGATTTATAACACTTTGGGTATATACCCAGTAATGGGATGGCTGGGTCAAATGGTATTTCTAGTTCTAGATCCCTGAGGAATCACCACACTGACTTCCACAGTGGTTGAACTAGTTTACAGTCCCACCAACAGTGTAAAAGTGTTCCTGTTTCTCCACATCCTCTCCAGCACCTGTTGTTTTCTGACTTTTTAATGATCACCATTCTAACTGGTGTGAGATGTTATCTCATTGTGGTTTTGATTTGCATTTCTCTAATGGCCAGTGATGAGCACATTTTCATGTGTTTTTTGGCTGCATAAATGTCCTCTTGAGAAGTGTCTGTTCATATCTATCACCTACTTTTTGATAGGGTTGTTTGTTTTTTTCTCATAAATTTGTTTGAGTTCATTGTAGATTCTGGATATTAGCCCTTTGTCAGATGAGTAGATTGCAAAAATTTTCTCCCATTCTGCAGGTTGCCTGTTCACTCTGATGGTAGTTTCTATTGCTGTGCAGAAGCTCTTGAGTTTAATTAGATCTCATTTGTCAATTTTGGCTTTTTTTGCCATTGCTTTTGGTGTTTTAGACATGAAGTCCTTGCCCATGCCTATGTCCTGAATGGTATTGCCTAGGTTTTCTTCTAGGGTTTTTATCCTTTTAGGTCTAACATTTAAGTCTTTAATCCATCTTGAATTAATTTTTGTATAAGGTGTAAGGAAGGGATCCAGTTTCAGCTTTCTCCATATGGCTAGCCAGTTTTCCCAGCACCATTTATTAAATAGGGAATCCTTTCCCCATTGCTTGTTTTTGTCAGGTTTGTCAAAGATCAGATGGTTGTAGATATGTGGCATTATTTCTGAGGGCTCTGTTCTGTTCCATTGGTCTATATCTCTGTTTTGGTACCAGTACCATGCTGTTTTCGTTACCGTAGCCTTGTAGTATAGTTTCAAGTCAGGTAGCATGATGCCTCCAGCTTTGTTCTTTTGGCTTCAGATTGACTTGGCAATGTGGTCTCTTTTTTGGTTC
Source organism: Homo sapiens (assembly GCF_000001405.40). Lineage (NCBI taxonomy): Eukaryota > Metazoa > Chordata > Mammalia > Primates > Hominidae > Homo > Homo sapiens. Next base: position 55,527,501 of record NC_000011.10, read on the forward strand.
CATATGAACTTGAAAGTAGTTTTTTCCAATTCTGTGAAGAAAGTCATTGGTAACTGGATGGGGATGGCAATGAATCTATAAATTACCTTGGGCAGTATGGCTATTTTTGCAATATTGATTATTCCTACCCATGAGCATGGAATGTTCTTCCATTTGTTTGTATCCTCTTTTATTTCATTGAGCAGTGGTTTGTAGTTCTCCTTGAAGAGGTCCTTCACATCCCTTGTAAGTTGGATTCCTAGGTGTTTTATTCTCTTTGAAGCAATTGTAATGGGAGTTCTCTCATGATTTGGCTCTCTGTTTGTATGTTATTGGTGTATGATGCAAAAATCTTCAATAAAATACTGGCAAACCGAATCCAGCAGCACATCAAAAAGCTTATCCACCATGATCAAGTGGGCTTCATCCCTGGGATGCAAGGCTGGTTCAACATATGAAAATCAATAAACGTAATCCAGCATATAAACAGAACCAAAGACAAAAACCACATGATTATCTCAATAGATGCAGAAAAGGCCTTTGACAAAATTCAACAGCCCTTCATGCTAAAAATGCTCAGTAAATTAGGTATTGATGGGACGTATCTCAAAATCATAAGAGCTATCTATGGCAAACCCATAGCCAATATCATACTGAATGGGCAAAAACTGGAAGCATTCCCTTTGAAAACTGGCACAAGACAGGGATGCCCTCTCTCACCACTCCTATTCAACGTAGTGCTGGAAGTTCTGGCCAGGGCAATTAGGCAGGAGAAGGAAATAAATGGTATTCAATTAGGAAAAGAGGAAGTCAAATTGTCCCTGTTTGCAGACGACATGATTGTATATCTAGAAAACCCCATTGTCTCAGCCCAAAATCTCCTTAAGCTGATAAGCAACTTCAGCAAAGTGTCAGGATACAAAATCAATGCACAAAAATCACAAGCATTCTTATAGACCAATAACAGACAAACAGGGATATTTTTAAAGATAGTTTGTGTTCAGTATCATTCTCCTCATCCTGAAAAAATAAGTGGGGATGCTAATCTAAGCCCTTTATATTTATAAACTCATTTAATCCTTACAAAACTTTTTGAGATTGGTGACACTAATTTGTCACTTTATAGAAAATGAAACTGAGGCACAAGGATTTTGTCTGGCATATAATAGGTGCTGAGACTGAAGAACAACTGTAATTTGTAAAACCGGGATTTTTACATGGTTTATATATGATTATAACCCTTACTATCCATTCCCAATTAAACTCCAGTCTAGCCAGTTGTGTCTACTCAAGGCATCTTGCACCTAGATCCAGTAGGGGTGTATGTGACTAAATTTTATGAGATACTTACAATATACTGGATAGTATAGTGTTTAATAAATATTTAAATTATAATTTAATATTAATATTTTATTATATTTTAATATCTGTAAGTTTAAACATTTAAGTATAAACCATAAATGCTAGGTATTTAATATGTTTAATGCAACACTAAGAAAAGCAACTATGATTTACAGATAATGTATAACCTGTAGTAAATTATATCCCTGGAAGTCTATAATAAAATCCAGGTTTTGGGGGATGTCAAAGTCCATACATTTCACCCACGTTCACCACATTTTTCCTTGCTCATGCTGTTGTCCTTGTTGCTCACTTTATAAATTATAAAGTTAGGATTTTCTAAATTCTCATGCCAAGGCCTAGCTCATTTCATCTCCTTTGAAATGTGCAGACTTAAAGGGTATTTTTTCATTCTGAAGTTTATATCCTACATGCATGGTTTCATAGGTGCTTATTCTGTATTCTTCTTTATGGATAGAACACTTCCTTTTGTTTCTCACACCATTGGATGTACTCTGAAACTAGAAAAAAATAATGTCTACATAATAAGTAGACACCTGAAGAAATGCAAGTCCCCAATCCTTTAAATAAGCAGTCTTTTGAACAATGATATTTTGCAGAAATTCTGGAAATAAATGACAATACATGTCCTCTTTGACTTATGATGGTGTTATATCCTGATAAAGTTGAAAATACCTTTAATACACCTAACCTACAGAGCATCAAATCTCAGCCGGTATACTTTAAACATGCTCAGAACACTTTACATTGGCTTACAGTTGGTCAAAATCATCTAACACAAAGCCTTATTTATAGTAAAGTGTTGAATACTGTAAACAAATGGGTGTTTTGTAGACATGATGGGATGCAAACACACAAAACACTAGATTCAAATAACACTGGTGGCCCAGCATGGTGGCTCACACCTATAATCCCAACACTTTGGAAGGCTAAGGCAGGTGGATCACTTGAGCCTATGAGTTTGAGGCCAGCCTGGGCAACATGGTGAAACCCTGTCCCTACAAAAAAATACAAAAAAGTAGCTGGGTGTGGTGGTGTGTGCCTGTAGTTCCAGCTACTTGGGGAGACTGAGATGGGAGGATTGTTTAAACCCAGGTTGCCGAGGCTGCCTTGAACAGTGATTGTGCCACTCCACTCCAGCTTGGTGACAGAGTAAGACCCTGCCTCAAAAACAAAGCAAAACAAAACCAACCAACCAACCAACAAACAAAAACCACTGACAATGCAATACACTGTAGAGTGTTTGCCGTTTACCAGCATGGTTGACTGAGATTCAATACTAAACTGGAAGTCCAAGTTATGGTTCAGCTCTTGAGTCTGGCTAAAGCATGCCTAGAAATGGAAATCATAAAGATGGGAGATGGTAAGTGGGGTATTTGAGCCTGGATGGCAGAACAATCAACCTCTGACAACAGCACTTTTGTTCCTGGAAGCAGGGACTGGCACTGCCATTGCCTGGGCCCCACGGTTCATTCCGGTTTTCCTTGGGTGAAATCAATTGCATAGATTTAATTAATTTAATTAAATTTTAAGTATGTACACAGAACAACATTAGAAATGGGGTGGGAAGAGAATAAATTAGCCACCCTTAAGCATGCCCAGAGGAAGATAAAGTCAACATGATATTAAAAACATTAACAAAAAAGACAATTTAATTATTGCTAATATGCAACCTCTACAGGTGCATGTAACAAATATCCAGGACGAAGGGGGACATTGGGGAGGAAGTGAAGCATTAAGGAGAAAGGGTAATAGAGGGCCCTCTGTTAACAGAGGGGAGAGGCAGCAGACGGTCGGGAGCTTATATGAATGGAAAATAATAATGATGAATATCTGAAAAGTGCTCTCCAAATATTATTATGCTTGTTACTTCCTGTAATTCTTGCGAAAGTGCTGGAGGCAGACACAAAATTCTTGGATAGGTTGTAGAGCACAGAGGTTAGTGGTCTGTGCTGTGAACTTTATGGCATTACTCACCCACAGGCTTAATCAGTTTCACTAGTTACCCAAAACTATCCACTGCAGCAGAAAGTAAGGATAACTATAGTGTCTATCTATTCATATGGCTTTTGTGATAATTAAAATAAAAAATCATGAAAATCTTTGCACAGTACCCTGAAATAGTGAGTACTCTGCACATCGACTTTAGTTATGATTGCGTTGTCTTATTTTCACAAGATTTGAAGTTTTTGTTGTCAGTAAGTGGCAGATTGGGGCAGAGAGTAAGTCTGATCCCTCTGGACCTACGAACTTTTCCACTGCGGAAGACAGGCTAAGGCTCTGGTAGTAAGAGTTGGGTTTGACTGCAGTGGAGGAAGACTACAAAAAGAGAGGTTGGTTACTATGGGAAAGAGGCTTGGATGTCAGGCTGAGAAGTGGAGATGTGTATTAGAAGTCAAATAAGATAGATTCATAGATTTTAAGGCAGAAAGGACATTATTATTATTATTGTATAGTGTACACCATTTTAAAATATTTTAGGTTTTGAGATTGCGCAAAGAAAATCTTACTTGAAAGTGTAAATGCTTAATACAGATAAGAAGCAAGCTGCTATTTCTCCACATCCTCTCCAGCACCTGTTGTTTCCTGACTTTTTAATGATTGCCATTCTAACTGGTGTGAGATGGTATCTCATCGTGGTTTTGATTTGCATTTCTCTGATGGCCAGTGATGATGAGCATTTTTTCATGTGTTTTTTGGCTGCATAAATGTCTTCTTTTGAGAAGTGTCTGTTCATGTACTTCACCCACTTTTTGATGGGGTTGTTTGTTTTTTTCTTGTAAATTTGTTTGAGTTCATTGTAGATTCCGGATATTAGCCCTTTGTCAGATGAGTAGGTTGCGAAAATTTTCTCCCATTTTGTAGGTTGCCTGTTCACTCTGATGGTAGTTTCTTTTGCTGTGCAGAAGCTCTTGAGTTTAATTATATCCCATTTGTCAATTTTGGCTTTTGTTGCCATTGCTTTTGGTGTTTTGGACATGAAGTCCTTACCCATGCCTCTGTCCTGAATGGTAATGCCTAGGTTTTCTTCTAGTGTTTTTATGGTTTTAGGTCTAACGTTTAAATCTTTAATCCATCTTGAATTGATTTTTGTATAAGGTGTAAGGAAGGGATTCAGTTTCAGCTTTCTACATATGGCTAGCCAGTTTTCCCAGCACCATTTATTAAATAGGGAATCCTTTCCCCTTTGCTTGTTTTTCTCAGGTTTGTCAAAGATCAGATAGTTGTAGGTAGGCGGCGTTATTTCTGAGGGCTCTGTTCTGTTCCATTGATCTATATCTCTGTTTTGGTACCAGTACCATGCCATTTTGGTTACTGAAGCCTTGTAGTATAGTTTGAAGTCAGGTAGTGTGATGCCTCCAGCTTTGTTCTTTTGGCTTAGGATTGACTTGGCGATGTGGGCTCTTTTTTGTTTCCATATGAACTTTCAAGTAGTTTTTTCCAATTCTGTGAAGAAAGTCATTGGTAGCTTGATGGGGATGGCATTGAATCTATCTATTACCTTGGGCAGTATGGCCATTTTCACGATATTGATTCTTCCTACCCATGAGCATGGAATGTTCTTCCATTTGTTTGTATCCTCTTTTATTTCATTGAGCAGTGGTTTGTAGTTCTCCTTGAAGAGGTCCTTCACATCCCTTGTAAGTTGGATTCCTAGGTATTTTATTCTCTTTGAAGCAATTGTGAATGGGAGTTCACTCATGATTTGGCTCTCTGTTTGTCTGTTGTTTGTGTATAAGAATGCTTGTGATTGTTGTACATTGATTTTGTATCCTGAGACTTTGCTGAAGTTGCTTATCAGCTTAAGGAGATTTTGGGCTGAGACAATGGGGTTTTCTATATACACAATCATGTCGTCTGCAAACAGGGACAATTTGACTTCCTTTTTTCTAATTGTATACCCTTTATTTCCTTCTCCTGACTGATTGCCCTGGCCAGAACTTCCAACACTATGTTGAATAGGAGTGGTGAGAGAGGGCATCCCTGTCTTGTGCCAGTTTTCAAAGGGAATGCTTCCAGTTTTTGCCCATTCAGTATGATATTGGCTGTGGGTTTGTCATTGATAGCTCTTATTATTTTGAAAAACGTCCCATCAATACCTAATTTATCAAGAGTTTTTAGCATGAAGGGTTGTTGAATTTTGTCAAAGGCTTTTTCTGCATCTATTGAGATAATCATGTGGTTTTTGTCTTTGGCTCTGTTTATATGCTGGATCACATTTATTGCTTTTCGTATATTGAACCAGCCTTGCATCCCAGGGATGAAGCCCACTTGATCATGGTGGATAAGCTTTTTGATGTGCTGCTGGATTCGGTTTGCCAGTATTTTATTGAGGATATTTGCATCAATGTTCATCAAGGATATTGGTCTAAAATTCTCTTTTTTGGTTGTGTCTCTGCCAGGCTTTGGTATCAGAATGATGCTGGCCTCATAAAATGAGTTAGGGAGGATTCCCTCTTTTTCTATTGATTGGAATACTTTCAGAAGGAATGGTACCAGCTCCTCCTTGGACCTCTGGTAGAATTCGGCTGTGAATCCATCTGGTCCTGGACTCTTTTTGGTTGGTAAACTATTGATTATTGCCACAATTTCAGCTCCTGTTATTGGTCTATTCAGAGATTCAACTTCTTCTTGGTTTAGTCTTGGGAGAGTGTATGTGTCGAGGAATTTATCCATTTCTTCTAGATTTTCTAGTTTATTTGCGTAGAGGTGTTTGTAGTATTCTCTGATGGTAGTTTGTATTTCTGTGGGATCAGTGGTCATATCCCCTTTATCATTTTTTATTGTGTCTATTTGATTCCTCTCTCTTTTTTTTCTTTATTAGTCTTGCTAGCGGTCTATCAATTTTGTTGATCCTTTAAAAAACCAGCTCCTGGATTCATTGATTTTTTGAAGGGTTTTTGTGTCTCTATTTCCTTCAGTTCTGCTCTGATTTTAGTTATTTCTTGCCTTCTGCTAGCTTTTGAATGTGTTTGCTCTTCTTTTCTAGTTCTTTTAATTGTGATGTTAGGGTGTCAATTTTGGATCTTTCCTTCTTTCTCTTGTGGGCATTTAGTGCTATAAATTTCCCTCTACACACTGCTTTGAATGCATCCCAGAGATTCTGCTATGTTGTGTCTTTGTTCTCGTTGGTTTCAAAGAACATCTTTATTTCTGCCTTCATTTCGTTATGTACCCAGTAGTCATTCAGGAGCAGGTTGTTCAGTTTCCATGTAGTTGAGCGGCTTTGAGTGAGACTCTTAATCCTGAGTTCTAGTTTGATTGCACTGTGGTCTGAGAGATAGTTTGTTGTAATTTCTGTTCTTTTTTGTTTGCTGAGGAGAGCTTTCCTTCCAACTATGTGTTCAATTTTGGAATAGGTGTGCTGTGGTGCTGAAAAAAATGTATATTCTATTGATTTGGGGTGGAGAGTTCTGTAGATGTCTATTCAGCCATCCCGTTACTGGGTATATACCCAAATGACTATAAATCATGCTGCTATAAAGACACATGCACATGTATGTTTATTGTGGCATTATTCACAATAGTAAAGACTTGGAACCAACCCAAATGTCCAACAATGATAGACTGGATTAGGAAAATGTGGTACATATACACCATGGAATACTATGCAGCCATAAAAAATGATGAGTTCATGTCCTTTGTAGGGACATGGATGAAATTGGAAATTATCATTCTCAGTAAACTATCGCAAGAACAAAAAACCAAACACCGCATATTCTCACTCATAGGTGGGAATTGAACAATGAGATCACATGGACACAGGAAGAGGAATATCACACTCTGGGGACTGTGGTGGGGTGGGGGGAGGGGGGAGTGATAGCATTGGGAGATATACCTAATGCTAGATGACGAGTTAGTGGGTGCAGCGCACCTATAAAAAAAAAAAAAAAAAGAAGAAGAAGCAAGCTGCTGAGTTTGGAAAGGACGCAGTCCCTGAGGTGGCTTCTTTGAATTCCTAGCATTCCACTCATCTACTACAACCACCCCATACTGCAGATGAGGAAATAAATTGAGGCCCAGAGTAGTGAGTAATGTAATAACATGATTTAGGAATTAGACGGACAACAAAGGTATGAAATCCAGTTGCACTGATTTCCAGGATTGTGTTCTCTCTACTTCATTAGAACTATTCAAGAACTTTAGAAGTTCTTGGGCTGCAGGTGGGAGAGGTTGGGTTTAGTAACCTATTACTGATCTACAAAAAAATCTTTTGGCAGCTGTCTATTTAGTAAAGTGCAGAATACTAAGAATGGGCCTCTAGGTATTTAGAAAAGTCTTAGGGAACAGAGTTTACATCTCCATTTAAAGCAGTTGTCTCTAATGTATTCTAACCAAGTGGCACACAGACTCTATTTAAGTGTCTTTAACAAAGATAAATTTGCTATTTACTGAATCAGTTCCCTTACCATGTCATTTGTCTGTGCTAGCAATTGCATTTAGCCAGCCAAGGCTGCTGTTCACTTCTTTAGAGATACAACATAAAGATTCAGAACTTATGCTTCAAGATGAGGTTACCTAAATTCATAATTCCCACTCATCTTAGATGAGATATTTAACATCTCCAAGCCTCAGTTTCCTCATCCTGAAGAGAAGATTTTTTTTATAGTGCACATCTTGTATGATACAAAAAATAAATGCAATTATGCATATAATAGATGCAGTTCATTGACAATACATAGTGAGTACAAAATAAAAGTTTTTAATTGATATTTTGATTATTCTTTAGAATCCTTTCTTTTATCTGGTAGCAGCCTTTCATAAGGAAAATTGGAAGTGAGAAAGTGAGTAATGAAGGCGTGATATGGATTTACATTATCCACAGAATGATTTAGAGTGATTTAGACTTATGTGCAGGGATGGTGTCAGTTAAGCTGTACATCTGAGTCTTCTTGCAGCACAGAAAGAGGCTTAAGATTAAATTTTCTTTAATAAGCATATCTGGACAATGATTAGAATACTTGAAAACTTAGTTAATCATTGTACCTTCTAGTTTCAGGATTGGAACATACATATTCCAATATACATATATATAATGAGAATATGATCTTAATTATGGGATTTTCATTGGATTTTATTACAGAAGTTTTGAATAAAATAATCCCAGGATGCATAAATCTATCTTACTGGATTGTTATGAAAATGAAATTATAAAGGACACTATTTCCTCCATATTGAGTATTTGATATTACAAAATAAGCAATAAAGATTGTTGTTTGTATGAATTTTAGAATAAGGAAAAGCTGGATTTGAGTTTTACTTCAGTGTTTACTAGTGGTGGGAAATTGGTGTCACTTTTCTTCACCTCTTTAAGCCTCAGTATCAAATATCTAAGAGTATCTCATAGGATATTCCACTGACTGAGACACAGTAGGGACTAACTGAATATCAGAAATATGTAATAATAATGATAATCATTCAAATTTGGAAAAAAGACATGTAGATTAAAAAAAGTATAGTTGTTAATAAGTGAATAATCTTCAGGATGTGAACTGTGCTGTTAATTTGGTGACACGGTATCAATGTCATCAAGAGCCTACAAGACTCTTAACCAGCTCTCAGCTAGCTCAATAAATGTATGGAATAAATAAGTGAAAATTTATATGACATTTTCTTGGGTGTGTTAATGAAATGAATGTCAGCATCCTAGCTTGAAATTACCCAAAAGCAAAGGCTAAGAGAACGTCTTGTATATAAGTAGTTTATTTCAGAAAACAGAATAAAGGTATTGGGGAGAGTGAAACAGGGAAGGAAAGAAAGTTAACCCAAGATGGTGTTAAGGTGATTACCATTTATCAATTGGCTCCTAGTTACTGATGGTCAAGTGTGTTATTCCCTTCTTATTTTCAGATGTGTGCACTAGAATGATGAGGCAGTGTCTCCTATGTGTCACAGCAGCATGCACTGCAACAGAATGCAAGAGAGTTGCACCAGTGAAAGGAGGCATCGTTGTGGGGATCAGTAGGATGAAGCTGCTGCAAGGTTTTAATTCCTAGAAGCTGTTTTCTGTAGCAACAACTAAAGAAAAAGTGTAGGTTAAGAGGGTGTGAGACAGAGTACAAAAAATACCCAACATACCTGGTGATTACTAATTCAAAATCATGCTGATTTTGAAGATTTTTCAGCTCAGAACAATAGGCATTCATCAGCCCGTCTTAAATGGGGACTTCAAATAATGAGACTGAATTCATTCTTTTGGGCATTACAAAAAATCCAGAACTAAGGAAAATATTCTCTGCTTTGTTTCTAGCCATGTATGTGACCACAGTGTTGGGAAATCTATTCATTGTGGTGACTCTGGCTGCAAGTTGGAGTCTGAGATCACCTATGTACTTTTCCCTTACTTCCTTGTCTCTCATGGGTGCCACCTACTCTTCCATCACTGCCCCTAAGATGACTGTGGACTCTTTGAGAACACTACCATTTCCCTTGAAGGCTGCATGACCCAGCTCTTTGCAGAGCATTTCTCTGATGGTGTAGCGATCATCCTTCTCACTGTGATGGTCTGTGACTGCTATGAGGCCATCAGTAAGCCCCTGCATGACACAACCATCATGAGTCCACGGGTGTGCTGCTGTTGGTGGTAGAAGCTTGGGTGGGGGGATTAACACATGCCACAATACAGCTTTTTTTTTTTCATATATCAAATACCCTTCTGTGGTCCCAATATTATTGACCATTTTATATGTGATTTGTTTCCATTGTTAAAACTTGCTTACATGGACACCCACATGCTGGGTCTCTTAGTCATCCTCAACAGTGGGGTGATGTGTATGGCCATCTTCCTTATCCTAATTGCATCCTACATTGTCACCCTGTACTCTCTGAAGTCTTGCAGCTCGGTAGGTTGACGCAACACACTTTCCACCTGTGGCTCCCACCACACAGTGGTCATCTTGTTCTTCGTGGAGTGTATTTTCTTGTACATAAGACCTGTGGTCACTTACCCCATAGACAAGGATATGGCTATTTCCTTTACTATTGTTGCACCCATGTTAAATCCTCTGATCTATACCCTGAGGGGCATCAAGGTAAAAAATGCCATAAGAAAAATGTGGATGAAACAGGGGACCCTAGGTGGTCACTATCTTACATGCTAAGAGTAAATTTTTAATGTAAAACCAGTAAAGTTTTACCCTCCTCATTCCCTCTAATCCACTGGATACACAGGAGCCAAAGGCATTTTTTTAAAAAATTTCATTTGGAGACAGGGTCTCACTTTGTCTCCCAGGCTGGAGTGCAGTGGCACAGTCAGGTCTCACTTCAGCCTCAGCATCCCAAGCTCAAGCAATCCTCGTGCTTCAGCCCCCAAGTAGCTGAGAATACAGGCCATGTGCCACAACATCTGGCTAATTTTTTTGTATTTTTAGTAGCAACGAGGGTTTTCACCATGTTGTCCAGGCTGGTCTCAAACTCCTGGGCTCTAGCGATATGCGATTACAAGCATGAACTCCCACGCCCAGGCCAGAGGCATTTTTAAGTACACACAACAGGCTAAGATAACAGTGTCCTGCCTAATCAGGGTATTGACTACACCTCCAGCCCACTACACCAGCACATTTTGTATTTCATCCCCTTTTTCCCAAAGCTCTACACACAATTAAAACAAACAAACAAACAAACAGCAACAACAACAACAAAAAACAACCAACCATGGTATTTTGAATAATCTGAGCTTTTCCCAGTTCAGGGATTTTGTTGTTTTTCTCACTACTATAGTGATCTTTCCCAGAGCCTTTGGTTGGCTGGCTCCCTGTCACTGTTTTTTTATCTTCAGATAGACTGCTACCTCTTCAGAAGAGTCTTTCCTGGTGATGTTCTTTGGTCATTCCTTTCAGTTATTTTCTAATTCCACATACTAGTTATATCCTTATTATTGATGGTCACAAATTATACTTTAAAAATTTTGTTTTGGCTTTTACCTTATGTTTTCTCTAAAAGCTTGTAATTCTTCTCAAGGCACAAAATATGTTTACTCACTGGTGCTGTAAACCCAATAATTAGAATACTCCCAGTCACCTAGTATGTGCTTACTAAATATTATTGGATGAATATAAGTCTAAAAGAGACTTTGAGTTAAAAAAATTTTTGCAAATAAATATAAAGAAAGAAGTGGGGAGGGCAAATACATACATGCACTGGGGGAGTCAGAATCCCCTATTTGCCTGATGCCAAGTTGTTACTTTGAAAGCAAAGACAATCTCAGCTTATTAGTGTAAAATTTAATAAAGGAGCCACCACTTTACCAAAGTTCTCTAGTAACTCTTGTCACTCATGGGAGAAGCAGAATAAAGTTCATTGTGTTTGATTCAAGATACCTTGGAATCTAAGGTTCTGTCTTGGAGCCCAGGCATGGTGGCATGCACCTGTGGTCCCAGCTACTCCAGAGGTTGAGGTTGAGGCAGAAGGATGGTTTGAGCTCAGGAGTTCAAGACCAGGATGGGCAACAGAACAAGACCCCATATCTAAAAAAGAGTTTTTAAAAAAGTATCTATGTCTTGGAATTATATGTTCTTTATGGGACCAGAGCAACTGTATACATCTATTTTATTAACTGTGAAAGAATGGTTTTGCTGAGATTTGAGATTTAAATTTCCAAATCCAAAGGATGTTTATTTTCTCCTAGATCCTTCTGTGAAAAAGCTTTCACTAGAAAGACACTAATTCTGTTTTAAACTGTCTCCCTTGATGAAGTAGCTGGGACGCCTAAGGTCATAGCAATGTTTACCATTCTGTTTTCTTATTAAAACAAATATATAGGCTGGTGGGGTGGCTCACACCTGTAATCCTAGCACTTTGGGAGGCCAAGGTGGGCAGATCACGAGGTCTGGAGATCGAGAACAGTCTGGCCAACATGGTGAAACTCCGTCTCAACTAAAAATACAAAAATTATCCAGTGTGGTGGCAGTCGCCTCTAATCCCAGCTACTCTGGAGGCTGAGGCAGGAGAATAGCTTGAACCCAGGAGGCAGAGGTTGCAGTGAGCTGAGACAGCACCATTGCACTCCAGCCTGGGTAACAGAGCTAGACTCCATCAAAAAAAAAAAAGAGGATATACACACACACACACACACACACACACACACACACACATACACATATATAATAATAATTATAAGATCAGTTATAATATTTGGAAAAAACAATATTTAAATAAAAATGTTTATTTTAAAATTAAAATATATATGTGCAATCGCCAATTATATGAAATAATTACTAGGTTCATTCATTCATTGAAGAATATTTGCTGAGCTTGTAAAAAGTTTCGGTTCCTCTTCCAGCAACTGGGTATACAGTGTTAAATAAGACATCCCTATGTTTTCATCATGTCTTGGAGCTTACATTTTAGTTCAGGAGATGACATATAGAAATGAAAATAAGATCATAGAGATAATTGACTCTCAGAAAATTGTAATAAAGTGGTGTGGCATGACTAGTTCTAATTCTAGTTAGGTGGACATGGGGGCTTTTCTGAGAGGAATTTCTAAAATGAGATTTCAGTGATGAGATAAAACAAACTTTAAGCATTTCAGTTGGATGTGCATTCTAGGCAAAAGAGAAAAGGCTGTCCAGAAACCCTAAGGCAGGCACTAGCCTGAAGTAAAGAATTTCCAAAAATCAGTGCACAGTGGACAAGGGGAAATGCAGTGCAATGTGGGATATGAAAAGTAGGCAGGGCTTTGATCAGAGAAGGCTATTACTTTTTAATCATTAGTTTATTGAGTTTATGGAAATTAAAGTAATGCTTAAATTAATAATAATCACATCCTGTATTAATCCGTTTTCATGCTGTTTATAAAGATATACCCAAGACTGGGCAATTTAAAAAAGGAAGAGGTTTAATGGACTTACAGTTCCACGTGGCTGGAGAAGCCTCACAATCATGGCAGAAGGTAAAAGGCATGTCTCACATGGCGGCAGACAAGAAAAGAGAGCTTGTACAGGGAAATTCCACTTTTTAAAACTATCAGATCTCTAAATCATCTCGCTCAAATTCAAAGTTTAACAGATCTCTAGAGCAGGGACACAATGCTTCCAGTCTCCTTGATAAAACATAGCAAAACATGACATTTACTTTACTCCCCAATAAGTTCCTCATCTCCATCTGAAACCACCTCAGCCTGGACTTCACTGTCCATATCACTATCAGCATTTTGGTCACAACTATTCAACAAGTCTTTAGGAAGTTCCAAACTTTCCCTCATCTTTCTGTCTTTTTCTAAGCCCTCAAAACTGTTCAAATCTCTGCCCATTACCCAGTTTTAAAGTGTCAGGTATCTTTATAGCAATGCCCTACTCCTGGTACCAATTTTCTGTATTAGTCTGTTCTCACATTGCTATAAAGAACTACCTGAGGCTGGGTCATTTATGAAGCAAAGAGGTTTAATTGACTCACAGTTCCACAGGCTGTGCAAGAATCATGGCTGGGAGGCCTCAGGAAATTTTTAATCATGGTGGAAAGCAAAGGGGAAGCAAGCACACCTTCACTACTTCACATCAAAAGAGAGAGTGAAGGGGGAAGTGCTACACACTTTTAAACAACCAGATCTTGGGAAAACTCACTCACTATTATGAGAAGAGCAATGAAGAAATCCACCTCCATGAGCCAATCACCTCCCACCAAGTCCCTCTCCCAACATTGGGAATTACAATTTGAGACGAGATTTGGGTGGGGACACAGAGCCAAACCACATAAGAGTCCATCAACAAATGATTGGTTAAGAAAATATGCTGTGTGCATATGTGTGTATATCAATATACCATGGAATACTAAAAAAAAGACCTATTGGTACAATGTTCACAATTTGAACAATGGGTACAATAAAAGCCCAGACTTTACCACCTCATAATATATCCATGTAAGAAAACTGCGCTGTACCTCTAAAATCTATAAAAATAAAACAAAAAAGGCAAATAAATAAATAAATAAAACCTCCACCCATCAAGGTCTTATAGATGACTTCAGAAACTTAGCATCAAAATTCTTTGCATATGGCTTCCATTTAACTTTTGCTATGACAAGAGTAGAACATAGGTTTTATTGCCTGCTTAATAATATTTTATAATTAGGGCTCAGCTCAGTGACTCATGCCTGTAATCCCAGCAATTTGGGAGGCAAAGGAGGGAGGATGGCTTGAATGAGTCCAGGAGTTCAAGACCAGTGTGGGCAACATAGTGAGACCCTGTCTCTACAAAAACACAAAAAAATAAAATAGCTGTATGTGGTGGTGTGTGCCTGTAATCCCAGCTACTTGGGAGGCTGAGACAGGAGGACTGCTGGAGCCCAGGGGTCTGAGGCTGCAGTGAGCTGTGATTGTGCCACTGCACTCCTTCCAGCCTTGGTGACAGAGCAAGACACTATCTCAAAAAAAGAGATTAAAAATTAGAAAAGCCATAATATTTTAGGAGTAAATACCTGGATTCATTTTACATGTCTTCAGCCTGCCTTATGTCAGAAAAGAAGAAAATGCCTTGATAGTATGATAACTTGAGTCTATGTAAGAGCTTTATGATGGCCACATTCTTAGTTCAATTATAAAATTAAAGAAGTGAAAGGATCATAATGAGATCCCTAACTTCAAATATTTGTAATCTGCTTGATAATTTTTATAGTGTCAGAAGTAGTCCTAGAATCTATATCTTCTACTTAATAGATAAGAGCTCTTCTGAACACTCATGCTGAAATTGTTACTGGTCAGTTATATCCAAAACAAATTCTTCTCTTCTATATTCTATACATCCCCCAAATTAATTCACATTAAATAGTTTTACTAATAAAACACATTACCTGGCAGCTCAATGCCTGACTTTTTGTTTTAAAACACTCTTGACTTCTGGAATAAATCTTGGTCTTCATTTTTTTATAAGTGCTTACTGTTATTAATAGTTTATAAATCATGAATATCTATAGATTTGAATTTGAAAATTTAGTTCTATTCATGATTTAAATGCATAGCAAACTAGGAATAGAAGGGTACTTTAATATAAAGGAGATATGCCTTAAAAACTACTGCAAATTCATTGAACCATAAGGTGAGATTCCTTCTCATTTTACTAAGAAAATGTAAGTGATAAGAAGAGAACTTCCAGACTCTTACAAATACATAAACACTACCAATCTGCCAACATCCATTCACTTATATGCTGTCTCCCTACCTGCTACTACACATAAATTATCTGTTCCCCAATCCAAAGCCAAGAAAACCACTTTGCTGTGTGCTGGACTGAGGCCATGCTCTTATTGCTTACACAAGGGCATTGGTCTAACAGTCTCTCCTTTTCTTCTTTGATCGACATTTACTTCTATATTGGATCATTACATCAGAAAAGAAGCAATTTTTAAGTATCTCTTTTCTTTAAAAAAATCCTTCCATTGAGCCTACTTCTTTCATCAATTGTTATCCCATTCCATTCTTTCTCCTTTGGAACAAAACTCAAGAGATATCTATGCTTGTTTCCCACTTCTCTCCTTTCATTCTTTGATAGTGCCTTTTAGTCATACTCAATATCTAATGCTTTCTGAAAATGCTTTTCTCAAGGACACCAATGACCCTTGTATCATGACATTTAATGGTCACTTCTCATTTCTAATTTTATTAAATCAATTAGCAACATTTAAATCAGTTTTCCTTGTCAGACTCTCTAAACTTAACCAAGATTCCCCAATTAGTAAATATGTCCAGCTCTGACTTCTGTCTTGAAGTTAAGACTTGGAAATCCAATCTCTTTTATGTCACTTCCATCTGAATGACTAATAGATTCCTTGAACTGAACAGGTCTAAAGATGTGCTCCCCAAATCCAGTCTATCAGGAAATCCAATAGACTCAACCTTCAACATGTATTCCAAATTCAACTATTTCTAATCACTTTTAGATCTGTCACCCAGTTCCAAGCCACCATTATCTTTTACCTGGATTATTGCAATTGCCTCTCCCTACTCCTCCTGCTTTTATTTCAATTTCCCCCAGTCCAATATTTGATTCTCAACACCATACTCAGAGGTATCTTTTAAATTCACAAGTCAGTCACATCATTTCACACCTCTACTCAAAACTTTGCAATAGCTCTCTATGTCACTCAGGGTAAAATCTAAAACTACTATAATTGCTAAATATCTGACAGCTATACTCTGGCTGCCCTATTCTTTCTCTGAACACCTCTCTTACAACAAACAGCCTTTCTGTTCCTCTTCCTAGCCAGGTAGACTCTTGCTATAAAACCTTTACATAGGCTATTTTCTCGGCCTGGAAAACTTTATTCCAATCATTTGCATGACTAACTCATTTCTTATTTTTAGATGGGAAGAAATAATATATTTATTTTGAGATGGAGTCTCACTCTGTCACCCGGTCTGGAGTGAAATGGCACAACCTCAGCTCGCTGCAAACTCCGCCTCCCAGGTTCCAGCGATTCTCCTGCCTCAGCCTCCCAAGTAGCTGGAATTACAGGTGTGTGACACCATGCCTGGCTAATTTTTGTATTTTTAGTGGAGATAGGGTTTCACCATGTTGGCCAGGCTGGTCTCTCCAACTCCTGACTGCAAGTGATCTGCTCACCTCGGCCTCCCAAAGTGCTGGGATTACAGGCATGAGCCACCTCACCCAGCCCAGAAATAATATTTTAGATAGTATTGTCCTTACTCCTGCACAAGTAGGGCTGCTACTCTCAAGTCCAGACTTTGGAGTATCTTCATTAAAATTTTCCAAATTTTCTTTCAGTATCTGGGACTGGGCAGTGCTTTTGATGGGGCATTCCAGCCCAGACCCAACTGCATGGATCCCCTTCCTGTTTTTCCTGTTTGGGAAGCTTTTTGTCACTCTATTCCATGGGATTACCCAGACATCCTCAGAAGCTCTGGCTGCTGCACCTATGAAGTTATCCCAGGCTCTGTGGCCAGGATCAGAGTAGCAGGAGTACAGCTTGACAAGCAAATGTCTTCCAGAGGCTAGTTCATTATTTTTTTCATGGGATTGTACTACATTGGTTACTAGAATTGTATTGACATGATGATTCTGGGTGACATAGGACAGGGACAAAGTTCTGGGATATAAATGAGCCCCTACCAACCCTTGGCCTTGGAAATGTGTGTGGGGCTTAGTCAGCTTTTATCTGTTCATACTTCGATGCAGTGCCAGCATCTATGGCCCTGCAGGTGGTAAGAGTGATGGCAGACATCTTTTATCTTGTGCATCCTTAATGCTGGCACACAAAAAGGCCATCTCGTCTCTTCCGCAGGCTCTATGCTATGTGTCAGGAAGTTCTTTATGGGTGGCTAGGCTTATCCATTTCAACGGCTTTAACGACCTTTGCTCTGGAGTGTTGACTAACCTGTCCAATGGTTGCCCTTTCTTGCTTCCTTTGGTAACAAGGATGTTAACATTGTATTCTCCTGTGTTGATCTTAAGCCGTATGTGATGAGGGACATGTCTCGCATGAATGAAACCACTTTTCTTGATTCTGCAGTCAGTTTTTTCATCTGTCCTCTGCCTTGGTGGTGGTGTTTGCAAGGTAGGGCTATTGACAATGTCAAAAGATATCACTTTCCAGGAATACCTTGATTATAGTCTAATGTGCTCAATAGAAGTCATGGTTGGAAGATGTATAGTCCTATACTAATGCTTTAAAATTCCTAAAGGTCAATTTGACATAACCAAGAAAGGAACTTGTTCACATAATCTTGCAGGCTCTGGTTATCAGACTTGTGTCTGTGATCATTACTAAGAAAATGTCTTTGAGAGAGTCATTGGAATCCCATATTCATGGACAGCCCCATAAATGATGCAACATCATAAGTAATGAGGTAAAATAGAGTTAAATAAGTAGTAGTAAAGAAGTGCAAAGGCATTATTTCAGCATATGCAGGATTTGCAAAGAACAAGAAGAGATGGTTCCTGGACATGAATAGGAAGAGATGCCTGGACAGCAGGCTATTCCTTCACCTGCTATTTCTTCTCCTTGACTATGGCTCTCTCTGTCTCTGTCTTTCTCTTTTCTGATTTAAACTATTTAAACTTTTCTGAGTTATTCTATTTTTCATAACTGTGCAAATATAATATATTTCTTATATTATTGCCTTACTCCATCTTTACAATCTTTCTCTCTTTTTTTTTTTTTTTTTGATACAGGATCTTGCTCTGTCACCCAGGCTGGAGAGCAGTGGTGCAAATACAGTTCACTGCAGCCTCGACCTCCTGGGCTTAGGCAATCCTCCTACCACATTCTCTGGAGTAGTTGGGACCACCAGCAAGTGCTGCCATACCCAGCTAATTTAAAAAAAAAATTTATAGAGTTGGGGTCTCCCTATTGTTGCCTAGGCTAGTGTCAAACTCCTGGGCTTCAGTCATCTTCCTGCCATGGCCTCACAAACAGCTTGGATTACAGGTTTGAGCCACCATGCCTGGCCCATCTTTACAATCTTATTTTCATGTTACAGTACTAATAAAAATTAAGCAAAGCAGGATATGGGATAAAGTAGAATATTCTAACTGTATAGCTGTGGTTTGAAGTGAGAACCAGGATTCAAGAATGAATTGCTGAAGTCTTGTTGCTGAGTGATATTTCAAAAATATCACCATAACCAGGACTGTGGTCTATGCCAGGTGACTTTTCTGTTTCAGAACACACATCTAAAATCCAATGACAAGGAAACACTTCTCTGTAAATTACTAGACAATTGAAGTAACGGTGCTTCTGGCCCTTGACTTTTTTGATGAATCACTTCAATCCTACATTTTTCTGTGGGATGTGAATAGATATAAAAATAGGCAGGATATCACACACACCAAAAGAAAAACTGAAAAAAAATAATAAAGTGGAATTTAGTGAATGGGTTGAAGTACAGATGAAACAAAAATGGCACATGATTAGTAATTGTTGAGGCTGAGTGATGGGGTCTATTACGCTATTTTATTTGTTGTGTATATGTTTTAAATTTTCTATAATATAATACTTGTATAAGAAGAGAAAGTTGATGTACAATGTTGGCTCTTAAGACATTGGTTACCTTTATAGGGGAAGGAGGAAGAAAGTGATTGTTGGTGGTGTAAGTGAGGCTGGTTTTACTTCTTGGTTACGTACGTATATTTGCCTTGTAATAATTCATCAACCTTTACATGAATGCTTTGTGTGTGTATTTCTGTAAGCATGTCATTCATCACTGAGAAAATTAAAAATTACATATTTGCAAAGAAATAGGTAAAAATGTTTAGAGACTGTGGAAAGCAGCCAATTGTTTGATGTGGTCCCTTTCTAAAGGGACCTGAGGAGATCAGTTTAAGTTGTCCCTCAAGCTTCAGTCTCAATGCTACGTTATCTTAAACAGACCATATCTTCTTTTCATATAAAATAAAATAAAAAGATAAAATTTTCTGGGAGAAAAAAGATCATGTTTCAATTACTCTATACCTCTTTGCATACTTATACATAAAATGTTATTCTTTAATAAGCACTCATCTCATTGCTACCATAGTCCCAAAACAACACACGTTGTCCTTATTGACTAATGCTGCCTTGTCCCAGAAATCGCTCTTTAGTAAGTAGTGAGTAGGCATTTTCCCCGAATTCTGCAGAAACATATTTCATCACAGTACACAGTGTTGTATTCCTGAACACAAAGGGAAAGGAAAGCATCTTCAAATAGAAACCCAGAAGAAGTTAAAACAAACAAACAAACAAAAACTCTAATTATCAGGGCCATGAAAGTTTTGCAAACTCTCGAACAAGTCAAACCACATAAAATTGCTTCTTAGAAAATCATACTGATGGGACATTTCCAAACCCTGGGGGAATGGAGGAACTATTCTGCAAGTTCATGACCTCTCAGGGAAACCTCTTTAAATTCCTGTTAGAAATCAAGGAGGAAACTTTTGCTCCTTTATTTTTATTTTTTTCCTGAGACCATGTTGAAGACAGCACCTGAAAAGGAGTGGGGAACACTCCCTACCTCATCTGCCAGAGATGCTCTTCCTTTGTCTATTAAATGTAGAAGGAAGAGCTGAAAACAACATCATGTTTAGCCACTGGATGGATTCTTCACTATAGAGAATAGGAGACTGGCATCACCAAAATTTTCAAGGAACTGATAAATGGTGAGATTATAATTCAAATTTTTGCATTTTCTGAGAGGATTTCAAGTTATGTTGTAGTGCTTCAAAGTGTGGGTGTTGTGGTCAGGATACAAATTTTAATGCCATGCATGAGCTTACACTTAATAATTGTAAACTTGGGCAGTTACATAGCCTTTCTGATTCTCTGACTCCTCATATTTAATGAGGACAATAATATTAGTAAGCTTGAAGAATGTGGAAACAAATAAAATAATACATGCAGAGACCATAGGATGGCACTTGACACATAATAGGTACCCAGTAAACAGCAGCTGTTATAACAAAATGAAAGCTGGTGGTTTTTGGAGGATCAAAGCACCTAATTACTTCAAGTTTAATAAAATAATTACCATTTATCCTCTAATGCTCCCACTTTCCTGATGTTTTAAAGAGTAGAATTTCCTGAGGCTGTATAGAGAAAACTGATGTAACATGGATAATTCAAGTACTACTGTATCATTTACAGAGCTAAATACTGATTATATTTACTGATATAGAATGATACTGACGATATTTACTGATATAGAGTGAAACATTCACTATTTCCACAATTATCCCCTAACAAATGACCCTGAGAAGGACACCAAGGATGAAAAATCATGACCCAAGCCACAGAGTAAATTCTTCTAACTATGGCCCCCTCACTTTTCCCAAGTGCATCTCATGTCATAAGTAGCTTTAAGTTCCCTCCTTTGAATTGTTTAGGAAAATTTAAATGCCTGAAGCTGTGAATTGCTTTAGAACTAGTTGTCATGGCTTTGTCTCCTCCTTAAAATGAGATAAATCACTAAGAAAACAGAAAAAAAAAAAAAAAAAAAGAGCCAGGCATGGTGTCCCATGCCTGTAATCTCATCACTTTGGGAGGCTGAGGCAGGCAGATCACCTGGGGTCAGGAGTTCAAGACCAGCCTGGCCAACATGGCAAACCCCAGTCTCTACTAAAAATACAAAAATTAGCCAGGTGTGGTGGTGGGTGCTTGTAATTTCAGCTACTCGGGAGGATGAGGCAGGAGAAATGCTTGAACCCACGAGGGGAGGTGGAGGTCTCAGTAAGCTGAGATTGTGCCACTGCCCTCCAGCCTAGGAGATAAGAGAAATTCTGTCTCAAAAAAATAAAAGAAAGAAAAAGAAAAAAGGAAGGGTCAGGCATCCAATAGACAGGAGAAAGGACACGAGTGGAAAAAGAAAACTTTTTTTTTCTTTCAAATTCCAGAAAGTAATGGTATAAAAGTTGGAGCATTTAGGGAAATCAACAGAGCAACACTGAAAACAGGAAATGATCTGAAATTCTGAAAGTTGAAGAGAGCATTATTTCCCAGATTGCTAGGGAAAGGAACATGCTTAGCTAGACAGGCCAGGAAAAAACTTTTCATTGTTGAATAATAATCCTGGATCAAAAATGTGGTAGATTTAAGAAACTTAACAGGGGGGATAGTTAAAAATAGGATTTTGATTTGTTCTTCTTCTTTGTCATAACAATATTTATTTGGAAAAATGTATGCAAATGTGACTAATATGCATTCATATGTCCATATAAATGTCTCTAAAATTTACTGCTTGAACTATAACTACAAAATGTTACTTGTAATGATAACCTTACTACTAATACTTCTTATAGTTTTGAATGTTGTATATACTTCATACTTGAAATAGGAATTCTATTATTTCCAGGACAAATAGAATTAGTTTTGTTGTTAAAACTGATGGGAAGGAAATAGTAGGCAATGTGTATAGAGGGGAATGAGGAAGCCACTTCCTCAGGTCACAGCCCAAGAAATGGCCCAGCAACCACAGTTCATGATGTGAGGGGCCATGGGGCAGTCTCAGGGGTGGCTCCAGCATATTAAGTGTGTGGTTATCAAGAAAGGAAAGACCACGGAATGTTCTATGAGAAACATGAACAAAATAAACCACTACCTATAGGAAAATATGAATTTTAAATTGATATTAAAATAAATGTCTAAAGGGTGGAGAGGGCTGGGCCCATAATATGGCTATTTATGGGAAGTATAGGAAGTTTAAAATTTTTAGTATTTGATTCTGTGTTATGTTAGCTTATTAGTTTCATGTGTGCAAATGAGTTATCCCCAAACTCCATCTCCTTTTTGAACTGTTTAGATGGTGGAAAATATGGCTGTGTGAGTTTTAAACTTGATGTTTAATTTTAAATATTCTTACAATAATACAGGATATACAGAGAAAATAGAGTCTCTGTCATTTTATATGTTTCCTTCTAGATCATAAAATTATATTAAAAATATCTATCCAATTGGCAGAGTTATATTTTTTCTGTTTTCTCACTTAAAATACTGTAAAAATACCTCAACTTCTATGTCCTCATGTCATTAATTAGTATTTTATTTATAGCAAATGTGATATTAATTTGTGATAGTCTAATTTAGATGAATATCTTCCTATGATTGTATATTTTAGATATTTCTCAATTTTCACATTGAAAATTGAGATGACATTGCACCATCTTTTATTATAAAACTTTCCCATCTCATTTCACTTTTGGAATATGTTCTTAGAGTTGAGGTTACTGGTATAAATAAAATAAACATGTTTATAATTCTGAAGCTATTTACTAATATGTTTTACAAAAGGATGACATGAATTAAGCAGTTTTATTGTAATTTTAGAATGGATGTAACTTAAAAATAGCATGATTTTGAACACACGTATTATACTCTTATGATCGATTCAATTTTCCAGCTCACTTTGTGTATGTAGATGCTGCTTAAAAATAATGTTGACATAAAGATTTCATATCTTCCTTTTAATTTATACTTTGCAAAGTACATTCACAATAACTGTCTATTGGACTCTCATGGGTCAGGAAGCTTCAGGTATTGCTACCTATTTTATAGCAGAGGATGCTGAAACATAGCGCTTTGTTCATGATACATGGCTAGTAGATGAAGCAGAGATTGCTATCTTTTTGATAGCAGAAAAAAATTACTTTTTAATTAACTTTTCATTAGAAGTAATTTTAGATTAAGAGAAAGGTTGTGAAGATAGTATAGAGAGCTTCTGTATACTACTCACTTAGTTTCCCTTAATATTTTCTTCTTACACTACTATTTGTGAAGACTATGAAATGAACGTTGATATATACTATTAACTAAACACCAGGTTTATTCATATTTGACTATTTTTTCTCCTGTCTTTTTTCTATTCTAGGATTCAATCTTAAGCAACACATCACATTTAAGACTCTTTTAAAATGATTTAAAACCATAAATCTTGTTATCATACATTATGAAGATGCTATACTTTCTATTGTCAAAGTTTCCACACTAATTTTGGAAATTCCTTTTATCTGAAATAAGTGGTTGGTTTCTTTATATCTACTAAATATTTTAATTCTAAAATGTTATTCTTCTTAGAACAGCCCAGCTAAAGGAAGTGGAGAGATTAAGAATTGTTTAATTATTAGATTAATATAGAGCCTTGTCTTTCTTTCCATCTCCAACTTTTATGGAGTTTTCTATGTACAATGAAGCTATTTGAAATAGAAGTGGATATTTGACAGAATGGGGGCCACAGTACTTTATTCAGGGATTACTAAAGACATTTAAAAGTGTTGTGCATTTTAAAATATCATGTCTGCACTGAGACAGACCAAATAAAATATTTAACATTTTTCAAAATTTATTTTTATTTTTATTTTTTTCTCTTTTAAAATTTTTTTATTATACTTTAAGTTCTAGGGTACATGTGCACAACGTGCATGTTTGTTACATACGTATACATGTGCCATGTTGGTGTGCTGCACCCATTAACTCGTCATTTACATTAGGTATATCTCCTAATGCTATACCTCCCCCCTACCCCCACCTCACAACAGGCCCCGGTGTGTGATGTCCCACTTCCTGTGTCCAAGTGTTCTCATTGTTCAATTCCCACCTATAAGTGAGAACATACAGTGTTTGTTTTTTTGTCCTTGTGATAGTTTGCTGAGAATGATGGTTTCCAGTTTCATCCATGTCCCTACAAATGACATGAACTCATCCTTTTTTATGGCTGCATAGTATTCCATAGTGTATATGTGGCACATTTTCTTTTTTTTAAATTTTTGATTATTATACTTTAAGCTTTAGGGTACATGTGCACAACGTGCAGGTTAGTTACAGATGTATACATGTGCCATGTTGGTGTGCTGCACTCATTAACTCGTTATTTAACATTAGGTGTATCTCCTAATGCTGTCCCTCCTCACTCCCCCCACCCCACAACAGGCCCCGGTGTGTGATGCTCCCCTTCCTGTGTCCATGTGTTAAAGGATGAGTAAAACCACCTTGGTCTTGGTAAAGCAAAAATTAGTGTAAAAATGTTATTTCTGCTCTGTGTCAATGGCTCTGAGGGCTTGTTCTCACCACTCATCATGATCTTCTATGCTTCTTACTGCATCAGTGCTTTTGTGTGTATTGCTTTCTTATACTCACAAGATATGTATAGATAGACATCATATCCATTTACTGAAGTGGAAGCTGAGGCTTTGAGAATGTTAAGAATTTGAAGTGACTTGTTCTAACATGCCATAGAACAAGTAGGAGAGCTTGGATTTGAACCTACGTCTATATGAGTCTGGAACTGAAGTTCTTACTCATTTCACTTCATCGTATTTCCCACTTTGGCTCTCGGCTAAGCTGAGCACTGTTGGATCATTTACTAACATGCTTTCCTTTGCAATAAATGGTTATTGACTTATCTAATAACCTTATAAGGTTTGTTCCAGCTCATATTTTCCTGATGATAACTTATAACTGTATATGGAATTCCTAGTGCAGACACTGGTTACAAATGAAACTGAAAACATAATGGAAATGATTGTTTTAAAATAAGCAAAAGAACATATATTAACATACACAATTGTATATTTGTTAGTTTTATTAACATTTTAAATTGTTTCTGTTAACTCCAAGTGACATTCATAAAAATCAGCTTATTTAAATCTCAAAATAAATCTCTTTATTCTTTTTTATTCACTTATTTTTTAACAAAGGTGTATACACATATAAATATACACATATACAAATATTCAAACACACACTTATATATGGTAATTGAAAAACACATTTCAATTATATATATATAGGTGAAGACAGAATTATCCTTTAAAGCTGTGTCTGCCTGTGGAAATGAAGTCAAAAGTTGGAGAGTAATTATCTAGATGACTCATGAAAAAGCTTTTTGTAGATAAGGTGGCTGACTTTTTAAGTGAGTAAATACAATTGGTAAGAGCACTTTATTATAAGTAAAATTTTCACATTTTCAAATCTGACCATCATCATAATCCTGAGACATGAGCAGGTAAGCTATATATAAACACCTCTGCTACACAATAATGCATATAAAGTTGAAATATACACTTCTTTTAGGAATTAAACTTCATTAGACCTGATTACTTTATATAAATAATTGGAAAATAATTAATAAAGCCTCAAGATTCCGGTTTATATTCAATATATTGTTTCTCTTCCTTACTTATGTGGTTGATGCCAATTTGTACATGCAAGTGTTTGTAGAAAGGCCATTCCTACTTTGAAGTTCTTACTGGAAAAGGAATATCCCCACTCCTTTCCCTGCTGATCTAGTGGAAAGGAATTGGGTGTTGGAGCCTGAGATTTTGTGTTAATATCCCAGATTGTCTGTTATTTGCTTAAACTTAACTTCTTTAAGCATGAGTTTCCCACCAATCAAATAGGAATAATAAGACCTAATGCAGACCATTCCCTAGGGCAGTCGGTCCTTAGCCTTCCATTGTTTCACCAGTTATCATAACAACATTCTGTTGTAGGCATTATTACTTTTATAATAATAATAAACTTCTGTTTTCATTTTAAAATGACAGATTTAAGAAAACACTCCGCACTTAATGCATACTTTTTATGTTTTAAATGTCAGGCTAGAGATTTTTCTAAAGATCTTTCTCTTTTGTAAAGAATGAATTCAGTTAAGACTTTTAAAGAAATATTTGAAGAGCAGCCATAATTTTTAAGTGCCTCTTGAACTATACGCTGTTTTCTTCTAGTTGCAGATAAAGCAGTCTCCCGATTAGGAATGGGATGCTGGTCATCCCTGCTCTCATTTGATGCCAATGGCAGAAATAAGTAATAAGTTACAATGCTCCTTCTCTCAAAATTTAGAGGTAACTTCAGAATACTTCTCAATAATTCACTCCAGGAAGCCACTAGTAAATGATCAAAGCTGGCACTTGATATGAAAACTCTTTCTCTTCTCTACCACATATCCTTCCCCCATATTGAACCTCTTGTTTCTTTCAAGTATTCTTTAAATTATCTCTATCACAATTCTGTCTGATATTTCAGTACTACCTTCAATAATTTCTAATTTATGTTCTCAATGACAACAGAAGCACTCAATAATTTTGCACTTGGATGTACCAACTTGTTAATGACTATGATACCACAAATTGATCTGAAGCAAATTTTCCTTTGTCCTAATTGCAGACTATACATGATCCCTGTTGGAGCTTTCATCTTTTCCTTGGGAAACATGCAAAACCAAAGCTTTGTAACTGAGTTTGTCCTCCTGGGACTTTCACAGAATCCAAATGTTCAGGAAATAGTATTTGTTGTATTTTTGTTTGTCTACATTGCAACTGTTGGGGGCAACATGCTAATTGTAGTAACCATTCTCAGCAGCCCTGCTCTTCTGGTGTCTCCTATGTACTTCTTCTTGGGCTTCCTGTCCTTCCTGGATGCGTGCTTCTCATCTGTCATCACCCCAAAGATGATTGTAGACTCCCTCTATGTGACAAAAACCATCTCTTTTGAAGGCTGCATGATGCAGCTCTTTGCTGAACACTTCTTTGCTGGGGTGGAGGTGATTGTCCTCACAGCCATGGCCTATGATCGTTATGTGGCCATTTGCAAGCCCTTGCATTACTCTTCTATCATGAACAGGAGGCTCTGTGGCATTCTGATGGGGGTAGCCTGGACAGGGGGCCTCTTGCATTCCATGATACAAATTCTTTTTACTTTCCAGCTTCCCTTTTGTGGCCCCAATGTCATCAATCACTTTATGTGTGACTTGTACCCGTTACTGGAGCTTGCCTGCACTGATACTCACATCTTTGGCCTCATGGTGGTCATCAACAGTGGGTTTATCTGCATCATAAACTTCTCCTTGTTGCTTGTCTCCTATGCTGTCATCTTGCTCTCTCTGAGAACACACAGTTCTGAAGGGCGCTGGAAAGCTCTCTCCACCTGTGGATCTCACATTGCTGTTGTGATTTTGTTCTTTGTCCCATGCATATTTGTATATACACGACCTCCATCTGCTTTTTCCCTTGACAAAATGGCGGCAATATTTTATATCATCTTAAATCCCTTGCTCAATCCTTTGATTTACACTTTCAGGAATAAGGAAGTAAAACAGGCCATGAGGAGAATATGGAACAGACTGATGGTGGTTTCTGATGAGAAAGAAAATATTAAACTTTAAAAAATCCAAAGTTAAGAGTAAAAAAGGTCAAAATGGCCTTAAATAAAAACTTAATGAGATACATCTTTCATGGCAAGAGATAAAGTAATGCTAGAAAAAAATCATTAATGTGGGATCAGAAAACTTATGTGTCCACCCTCAGAAAGCACAAATATGCACCTCCTCAGTCACCTATATAGGCCTAGTCTTACCCCGTGACTCCAAGGGCTCACAACCAACTGCATATTGCACCTCCACTCCCTTCCACCTCTGCAAACTAAGCAAGACATTCTCTCTTTTCTAGGACTAGTGGTTTATTTTAGGCTCTGGGTTCCCTCCTTCACTCTACTTGCCAAACCGTTATACCAGGCGGCTAAAGGCCCTCTCCATGAGCCTTTAAACCCCACACAGCCTATTACCCAACATTTCCATCCTCCAGAAGGCTCTCACATCAGCCCCCATTCTCACTCTCCCAGACCTCACCAAACCTTTCTCCCTCTATACCGCTAACCAGCATGGAGTTGCAGTAGGTGTTCTAACCCAGTCTAAGGGACCCATCTTCCAGGTTGTTGCCTACCTCTCTAATCAGCTTAAAGCTGCAGTTCATGGATGGCTTGCTTGTCTCTGAGCTTGGCAGCAGCTGCTGTCCTCACTCTTGAAAGCCTAAAATGATCTCTCCATGCCAACCTAACAGTCGATTCAACCTGAAACATCAAAGACATGTTAGCTCACTGCTGTGTACTAAGTCTCATCTCTGCCCCACAGCTCTTCCAACTGTATGCTCTATTCATAGAAACTCCCCACATTACCATGCTAACCAGCTCCCATCTAAACCCAGCCATGCTCTTACCTGAAGCTACAACCACCCAAGACCCTATACAATTCGGTGTGAATGCTGCTCTTACATTTTTCCAAACATAACAGACCAACACCTTCCAGATGCCTCCTTTACTTGGTTTGTAGATTACCCAGTCCTGCTCTGTCTGCTACTCAGTATCACCCCAAGGTTCCCTCCAGCCACAGCCTTTTCCTACCCACCAAGCCTGGGGCCTGGTATCCAGGCAAGATTGGCAAGTAGACTTCACTCACATACTGCCCAATAAATGGTTCTACTATCTTCTAGTCTTTGTCTGTACTTTCTTCGGGTTGGTAGAAGTGTTCCCAACAACTTCAGAACATGCAAATGTCATCACACAAACTCTCATCATGCATATAACTCCCCATTTTGAACTCCCAACATGCATCCAATCCAATAACAGGCCCGCCTTTTATCAGCCAAATTACCTAAGGCGTCTCTACACCCTTCAGGCCTCAATCTTCAGGCAAAGTTGGAAAGGTCAACTCTGTCCTTAATGCCCAACTCACCATGCTGGCCTTAGAAACCTGCTAGTCGTGGACAAAAAAAAAGTTCCCTTTTACCCTCGTGAGACTCCATGCAACACCAAAAGCACCCTTTTTATAGTCCCTTTGAAATCATGTGTGGCCAAACTTTAGTCTTAGGGCCTTCACCCTTACCAGACTCTGAGCCACTCAGGAGTTACCTCTCCTCCTTAATCCAGACATGGTCTTTCATTAGTGAAACAGCAAATGAGGCCATACCTCTCCCTGTAGACACCTCCTTGTCCTCTCAACATAAATGTCTTGCAGGCACAGACATATTTATCTGCCAACCTGACCCTCACCAAAAACTACAACTGAAGTGGACAGGTCCCTTACACTGTGATACTCAGCACACCAACTGCAGTGAGAGTCTAAGGAATCCCCCACTGGGCCCATCACACCAGAGTCAAGCTCACCCCCAAGGCTACTCCTTCCTCCAAAACATTAACTGCGGTTAACACACTGGGAGTCCCTGTGTATAATAACCTAAACAAAGAAAAATGATCCTTAAAGGTAGGAGGAAGCTAAAGATGGCAAGAAGACGAATGGCCTCCATAATGAATCATTGAATATTACTGTCCTGGCACTTGGGCTGAGGATGTTTCATGGTGTTATCTCACTCCCATATATATGCTAATTAGAATAATTAGATGACAGGCAGTTTTAGAGATAATCGCTAACCAAACTGCCTCAGCCCTGGAAATGCAAGCACAACAACAAAACCAAATGCACGTGTCAATTTATCAAAACAGGCCATTGCTAGATTAGCAGAAGAATGTGGGGTCTGTGGCAAGTTTAATATCTCCAATTGCTGTCTTAACATAGATGATCATGGAAAAGTGGTTCTTGAAATCACTTCAAACATCGGAAAAGTAGCCCATGTACCAGTCCAAACCTGGAAGGGATGGGACCCAACAAACCTTCTAGGAGGGTGGTTCTCTAATTAAGGAGGATTTAAAATACTGGTAGGTACAGCAATCTTCAACAATGGGTTCCTTCTGTTTTTTCCCCTGTGTTATCCCACTAATAGTAAAAGCCATTAAATCTCTTGTTGAAACTACATTTAGTTGCCAGACAATCTAGATGATGCTCCTCCTGTAACGACACAATGGATATCAACTGGTCTCTCAAGAATACCCCCAAAATTAAGTTTTTCTTTTTCTAAGGGGCCCACACCACGCCTATGTCAGGCCTGAAGTAGTTATTGAAAATGTCGTTCCTTTTCCTTTTTCTATAAGCAAATAGACAGGAATGAAAGATTTCTCCCCATGGCTGGAAAACTTGGGGGGATGAATAACTCCTCCCTTCTCAGGCCGAGTCTCAAGGTGCAATGCTACTTCTGCCAGCAGTGTGTGTCAGCAAGATAGCAGAAGCAGGAGGAGAGCCAGCTGGAGGACATGTACCCTGCCTGGAAGACACCTACCCTGGACAGAAGACATGTACCCTAGGAGGAAGACACATATACCTGAAAATCGAGAAAGAGGCCGTCTGGGTACTATGTGCAGTAACGTCAGACTGGGATGCTTTCTGTTTACAGGAGATTATAAAACTGTTGCCCCATCCTCACTTGGAGCTGACGCCATTTTAGGCCTCAGCCCACCTGCACCCAGGCGCTCATGAAAAGAGCATGTTGCTCCACACTGCCTTGTGTTGTCTGTTGGCACACTCTCAGGTTTCCAACCAATACAAGAACCTTTCAGCAAGCAAGTGAAACTCCAAAAGAAGAGATGTACAGCAAAATATACATTAGATCTTAACAGAATTTTGGGAGATCAGGGATTCTCCTGAGGGTGTGCTCTCAGACCTCAGCCAATTGTCCTGTTGGTTTGACCCATAAAGTTAGCTCATGTTGGTACCAAGTTCCAATAAGATATTTGTGAAAGGCCAGGGCATCTCCACTCAGAATCCTTCTGTGGTTACCAAAAATGTGAACCCCAAAAATTTGAGATAGATCTCAGTTAATTTAGAAAGTTTATCTTGCCAAGGTTGAGGATATGCACACATGATATAGATTCAGGATGTCCTGATGACATGTGCCCAAGGTGGCTGGGGCATAGCTTAGTTTTATACATTTTAGGGAGACAAGAGACATCAATCAATATATGTAAGAAGCACATTGGTTTGGTCTGGAAAGGTTGAATAACTTGAAGCAAAGGCAGGAAGACTCAAAGCAGGGAGGGGACTTTCAGGTCACAGATAGGTGGGAGACAAACAGTTGCATTGTTTTGAGTTTCTGATTAGCTTTTCCAAAGGAGGCAATCACATATGCATCTGTCTCAGTCAGCAGAGGGATGACTTTGAATAGAATGGGAGTCAGATTTGCCCTGAGCAATTTCTAGTTGGAAGGGGCCCAAGATATTTTTCTTTCACAAGTGTGTACAAGGATAAGTGAAAATCTACACAATGAGCTCTGGGAGTCCTTTCCTCTTGCAGCTCCCAGGATGTCAGCAGCCAGTACACAAAACAACCTTATTGATTTTCCACTACCATGCACATATCATAAGAGATGGTGGATTGTTTTCGTAAGAAAAGAGATGATCTATGTACTGCATGATAGCTCACAAATTAAGCCAAAAAATATACAAGCAATGCCCACACATTTGGAGATTCCAAGTAACTATTTTTCAAATTTCCTCTTCTTTAAACATAAGTGTCAGGCCTCTGAGCCCAAGCCTGCCAGTATACATCCAGATGGCCTGAGACAACTGAAGAACCACAAAAGAATGGCTGGTTCCTGCCTTAACTGATGACATTAACTTCTGACATTCCTTCTCCTGGACAATGAATCTCAGGAGCTCCCCACCAAGCACCTTGTGACTCCTGCTCCTGCCCCTGCCCGCAAGAGAACAACCCCCTTTAACTAATTTTCCACTACCTGCCCTAATCCTATAAAACTGCCCCATGCCTTTCTCCCTTTGCTGACTCTTTTTGGACTCAGCCCACCTGCACCCAGGTGATTCAATAGCTTTATTGCTCACACAAAACCTGTTTGGTAGTCTCTTCACATGGACTCACCTGACATTTGGTGCTGAAGACATGGGACAGGAGGACTCCTTTGGGAGACTAGTCCCCTGTCCTTGACCTCACTCCGTGAGGAATCCACCTATGACTTCAGGTCCTCAGACCAACCAGCCCAAGGAACATCTCACCAATTTCAAATCAGGTAAGCAGTCTTTTCACTCTCTTCTCCAGCCTCTCTTGCTACCCTTCAATCTCCCTGTCCTTCCAATTCCAGTTCTTTTTCCTCTCTAGTGGAGACAAATGAGACACGTTTTATCCATGGACCCAAAACTCCTGGACCATCACAGATGCTTCAGGTAACTCTTACAGTGGAGGGTAAGTCTATCTCCTTCTTAATCAATACAGAGTCCAACCACTCCACATTACCTTCTTTTCAAGGGCCTGTTACCCTTGCCTGCCAAACTGGACAACATTCTTTTATGCACTTCTTTTTAATTATCCCCACCTGCCCAGCTCCCTTATTAGGTGGAGGCATTTTAACTAAATTATCTGCTTCCCTGACTATTCCTGGGCTACAGCCACATCTTATTGCTGCACTTTTACCCAGCTTAAGTCCTCTTTCACATCCTCCCTTTGTATCTCCCCACCTTAATCCACAAGTAGGGGATACCTCTACTCCTACCTTGGCGATCCATCATGCACTCCTTGTCATCCCGTTAAAACCTAAACACCCTTACCCCATTCAATGCCAATATCCCATCCCACAGCAGGCTTCAAAAGGGTTAAAGCCTATTATCACCCACCTGTTACAACATGGCCTCTTAAAGCCTAAAAATTCTCTTTACAACTTCCCTATCTTACCCGTCCAGAAACTGGACAAGTCTTACAGATTGGTTCAGGATCTTCACTTAGTTAATCAAACCATCCTTCTCATCTATCCTATAGTGCCAAACCTGTACACTCTCCTGTCTTCAATATCCCCTTCAATATCCTGTCTTCAATAGTGAGTCTTCAACTCACTATTCTGTTATCTACCTCAAAGACACCTTCTTTACTATCCCCTTGCATCCCTCCTCCAAGCCTCTTTTCACTTTTACTTGGACTGACCCTGACACCCACCAATCCCAACAACATACATGGACTGTTCTGCCCCAAGTCTTCAGGAACAGCCCACACTACTTTGGCCAGGCATTTTCTCATAATCTGCTTTCTTTTTACCCATCTGCCTCCCACCTTATTCAATATTTTGTTGATCTTCTTTGAGGCCCTCTTACCAATCTTCCCAGCAGGACACTATCCTGCTTCTTCAACATATCTACTCAAAGGGGTACCTACTATCCCCCTCCAAGGAAAAAATTTCTTCCCCTAGTTGTACCTATAGTATAATCCTCTATCAACATACATGTCCCTTTCCTGCAGAAAGTATTCAGTTGTTCTACCAGACCCCAATCCCCACGACCAAACAACAACTCCTTTCCTTCTTAGGCATTGTTGGATATTTCCGACTCTGGATACCAGGTTTGCTATCCTAAACAAGCCACTTTACAGGCTCACAAAGGGTAAAATAACTGATCCCATAGGCCCTAAGTCTTTTCCCCATTCTTCCTTTTGCTCTCTCAAAAAGGCCCTGGAGACAGCTCCCTGTTGCCTTTCTATCAAAACAACTTGACCTCACAGTTCTGGGCTGGCCTTCATGTCTGTGTATTAAAGTGGTGGCTGCCACTTTAATACTTCTAGAGGACTTTAAAGTCAGAGGCTATGCTCCACTTACCCTTTACAGTTCTCACAACCTTCAGGCATCAATATCCTCCTCAAACCTTTCACATTTATTGTTTACCCCACAACTCTGCCAGCTCTATTCACTCTTTGTTGAAACTCCAACAGTAACTATTTCCCATGGGCCCAATTTCAAACCAGTTTCTCACTTAGCACCCAACACAAGTCCTGAATCACAGGACTGTATTTCCCTAATACACAGAGCATCTTCCCCCTTTCCTCATATTTCTATTCTTCCAATTCCAAACCAAGACCACACTTGGTTTATCGATGGCAGTTCTTCTAAACCCAATCAATTTTCACCAGCTAAAGCTGGATATGCTGTCATGTCCCACACCTCTATTATTGAAGCTGCTGCACTTCCTCCCTCCACCACTTCCCAACAAGCTGGACTGTTTGCCTTAACTCGTGCACTCTCTCTCACTAAAGGAATGTATATTAACATTTATACTGACTCCATATATGCTTTCCACATCCTCCATAACCATGCTGCCATCTGGGCTGAAAGAGGCTTTCTTACCACACAAGGCTCTTCCATTATCAATGCCTCCTCAATAAAGGACCTCCTTAAGGCTGCTCTACTGCCGACCAAGGCTGGAGTCATTCATTGTAAAGGACAACAGAAACCTATTGATGTTATTGCAAAAGGAAATGTCTTTGCAGACAGGACAGCAAAAAAATAGCTAATGCCTCCACTCCCTCTAGTATTCCAGTCCCCACTCCAGAAGGACAGTAATTTTCTTTCTCCTCTATCACTCCTACCTACTCTTCTTCTGAAAACCTGCTCTACCAGTCTTTCCCAACTCAGGGCAAATGGTTCTTAGACTATGGAAAATTCATTTTTCCTGCCTCACAAGCTCTACCCATTCTTTCTTCTCTTCATGACCACTTCCATGTTGGATACAAGCCTCTGGCTCACCTCCTGACACCCCTCATCACCTTCGCTTCATGGAAATCCATCCTTAAGACTATCACCTCTCAATGCTCTGTCTGCCATGCCACAAGCCCTCAAGGCTTTCTCAGGCCTCCTCATATTCTTATGCATCAGGCTCGTGGATATACTCCAACACAAGATTGGCAGTTTGACTTTACTCATGTGCCCTGTGTTTGTAAATTTAAATATCTCCTAGTTTGGGTTGACAGCTTCACCGGATGGGTCGAGGCCTTTCCCACCAGCTCCAAAAAGTCTACTTCAGTCATTTCTTCCCTTCTAACAGATATAATTTCCTGATTTGGCCTCCCTACTTCTATTCAATCTGACAATCGTCTGGCTTTTACTAGTTAAATTACCCAAGCCATCTCTCAGGCTCTTGGTATTCAGTGGAATCTTCATACGCCTTACTGTCCTCAATCTTCAGGAAAGGTAGAATGGACTAATGGTCTTTTAAAAACACACCTTACCAAGCTCAGCCTCCAACTTATAAAGGAGGACTCTGTATATTTTTAAATGAAGAGTGTTGTTTTGACCTAAATCAGTCTTGCCTGGTATATGACAACATAGAATAACTCAAGGATAGAGCCCCAAAACTTACCAACCAAGCAAATAACTATGCTGAATCCCCTTGGACACTCTCTAATTAGATGTCCTGGATCTTCCCAATTCTTAGTCTTTAATACCTGTTTTTCTTCTTCTCTTATTCTGACATTGTGTCTTCCATTGAGTTTCTCAGTTCATACAAAACCTCATCCAGGTCATCACCAATCATTCTATATGACAAATGCTCCTTCTAACAACCTCACAATGTCACCCCTTACCGCATAATCTTTCTTCAGTTTAATCTCTCCCACTCTAGGTTCCCATGCCACCACTAATCCCACTCAAAGGAGCCCTGAGAAACATCACCCATTATCTCTCCATACCACCTCCAAATTTTTGTGCCCCCTGAACACTTCACTACTATTTTCTTTGGTTTTTCTTATTAATATAAGAAGACAGGAATGTCAGGTATCTGAGTTCAAGCTAAGCCATCATATCCCCTGTGACCTGCATGTATATATCCAGATGGCCTGAAGCAACTGAAGAACCACAAAAGAAGTGAAAATAGTCAGTTCCTGCCTTAACTGATGACATTCCACCATTGTGATTTGTTCCTGCCCCACCCTAACTGATCAATTGACCTTGTGACATTCCTTCTCCTGGACAATGAATCTCATGAGCTCCCCACCGAGCATCTTGTGACTGTTGCCCCTGCTCACAAGAGAAAAGCCCCCATTAACTGCAATTTTCCATTACCTACCGAAATCCTATAAAACTGCCCCATGCCCATCTCCCTTTATGGACTCCTTTTTTGGACTTAGTCCACCTGCACACAGGTGATTAAAAAGGTTTATTGCTCACACAAAGCCTGTTTGGTGTTCTCTTCACATGGACGCATGTAACAGCATGGAAGTGATTTCAGTAACAAACATTCTATTATAGTTAAAGCATTACATCAGCCTTGGAGACCAAGAGAACATGTTGGAAGTAGATATTGACCATTTTACAATATACCCCAGGGAATGTATTTTTTCCTTTCCTGCTTCATGAGCCAGAGGTCAGGGTTGGGTTCAAAGAAATGTGTAAGCAAGGCTGATCTAAAGAACACATCATGGTCATGACCTCATCATAGCTCCTGGCACAAAGACATTACACCCTAGAGAAACATGACATGTGGAATCAATCTCTATACCTTATCTGAATAAATTATATTAGATTTTAAATTATGAAATAGGATGAAGATATCTTTAACTTTGAGGCAAATTATCTGCAAACAGTGTGCCAGTAGAAGGCATCAGGTCCATTTAAAACTCATGGATCTGGAGGTGAATCTATGTATTGAACTAACAAATCTGAAGGAGAACACACATCATTATCATTCTTTCAACAGCAGATCTTACTTTACTTGGGCAGGCTTTTGAGACTAGGCTATACTCTAGAAAAAAAAGAACTAGGGCATCATCTAATATTCTAAGGTTTTTAAAAAATTATTATTATGCCTCTGCTAGCCTGTGCAAGTCTTAATTTTAACATTTTAATTAATGTATTTATTTCCCCCACTATAAACAGATGTGAGTCATCTTTAATTGATTCCATTATGTAGGGGTAGAAAAAATATTCTTATAAATATGGTTTCATTAATAGAAAAAACATAATCTTATGGCTCAGATCTAACTTTCTAGATCACATATTGTAATACTATTTAATAAGTAAAGCAATATTTACACCTCAAATGAACTATTTCTCTCAAAAGACAGTCTATTTAGTGTTCAAGAAATTTTAGTCCAAATATATGACGCAGATCAAGTGACTAAGCATTGACATTTTGAAATTGACATTGAAAAAGAAGTCCATGTAGTTTGGATTGCAAATTGATTCATGTACATAACTAAAACAATAACAACAAAATGCAGCATTCTTCAAATTAATTTTTTAAGTCATAGTGTAGAGATTTTTGGGTCTGTTCACAAATATTCCACATAGTGGAAAAAAGAAGATCTCATTATATGTCAAAAAAACACAAATATTCCACTATATGGAAAACTGTTTCTTAATGCAGCTATATGGAAAAGTATATGGAATATTTGTGGGTTTTTTGGCATATAATGAGATCTTCTTCTTTTGGTATATAAAGAGATCATATTTCCTGTATCTCTTATGGAGATGTCATAATCTTATCCTGTAAAGCTAAATGTTGGTACATCCTGAAATGCATTCCTGCCAACTGTATTCCTAGGGACATATTGAAAAATGTTCATAGTTGCACTGTTCATAGTAGTCAAATATTCACTGATAGGATAATGAATAAGCGCATTTTTAAATGATAACAGTGGAATGTGGTATAGAATGAAAACAATTCAACAACAACATTCAACAATGGAAAAAAACTTAGTAAAATTAAGGTTGAAGGAAAAAATTTTAAAAACTACTTAAGTTTTTTCATATAATATGATAAATTGTGTACAAGTCTAAACCAAGGAAAAATAAAAAATAGATACCTGAGAAAGATAACTTACTTTTAAGGAGTAAGATAATTATACATTAAAAGATCAGGACATTGGTTACTTTTAGAGTGAGGCAGGGGGCAGGATAGGAAAGGAGTTAAAATAGATTTGGTCATTGGTAATGTTTAAATTTGGAGGATAGATAGTAAGTTTACAAGTATTTTTTGTACAATTTAAATAAAGGTAGAAAAATCAATAATATAAAGTTGATAAAGGAGTCTGGAAATACATGAACTCTAGTTGACATCTTATTAGTAGAACTGCTTGTTTGTTGTTCTTTTCTTCTGCTTGTTTGTTGTTTTTGCTTTCTTTGGTGTTGACTCCATTTTTGATCAGGGTTTCTTTACTCATGGTAAGATTACAGGCAGGAGTTGTGGGTCTGCTCCTGCAGAAACTCCTTTAGGAAAAAAGAACCAGCATTACACAATATAACCATGTAACAAACTTGCACACATACCCCCGAATACAAAGTTTTTATAAAGGAACAACTTTTCCTAAGAGTTCCAACAAAAGTACTAAGTCTGCATTTCATTTGCTGCTGGATACCTGACCTTATTATTACAGCTTTGGAGATATGTTTTCTGATGATCAAACAGGAGTTGTATTTCCATCCTTGAGAGATATTATTACCCAAACCTTATATGCTGAATACAGGCAGGTTGTGATTCTTCAGAGGAATATCAGGGTTGAGTTATCCAAGAAGAAGGATGAATTCCTGTCGGGCATGCACAATCAGGGCCCACTGAGGCAGTTTTTAAAACTCACCTTCAGCCATCATTATGTAACAGGTCAGATGTATCTGCAAAACTGTTTAGATATTATGCAGCAAAATATCAAATGTCCTGCAAAGGGTTGAATGCATCCTCCTTATTGATACTGCATTCCACACCACATCAAGAAATATAACACATTTCTATTATGCAGGACAACCTAACATATTTCATGTCTCATGATCTCTCCCAGTGCTGGAAATTGTGCTAGTGTTGTAGGACTTTCTCCTTAGTTCAGCTAAAAACGGGGTCCTTGTCACGTTGCCAGGAGAGATTAGGCTTTTAGACACTTTGAAGGGTGAGAAAAATGGAATTTATTGGCCTTAAGGGAAGAAAAGGGAAACAGGGACTCTCAGCAGAGCGAGATTCTCGCTAGTATAGGCTTCCCACCTCACTGATTGAATCCCAGGTACCACCCAGGAAGAGGAGGGGCCAGCCTGCTCCTCTTCCCTGCAAAGGGGTAAAATTCTGGAGGCTCTACCCCAGTGCACATTCCTCCCGGTAAGCAGGTTTGTAGGAGGTTCTTCAGGGACCACTTTCTACTTGGCCGTCTCACTAGTAATAATCTATGCAAGGGATTATTCCAAAATCAAACTTCATTTCTATTTGCTGCCTTCTAAATTAGTGGCCTTAGTGTAGTTCAAAAAGAAACAGAAGAGATTATTTTGTTTAACACCATAGAGGTGGTTTTTCAGAAAAGAAAATTATATATTGTGACTCAAATTCTTTTTCAATTTCTTTCATTTGTTTTATTCATTCATTCACTTACTAAACTCTTCATTATTAATTGTATACTAGAAATTATGATTTATAAATGCCTACTGTGGTGGCTATGGTGGAGAACAAGATAGTCATGATGCCTACCTTCAATAAGTGCTTATAATTTATAGAACATGCTAAGAGTTTGAGGAAGAAATAAAGTTTCTTTCTTGGTTTCTAGCCTTATGTAAACTTTTTCTTTATATATATATTATATATACATTTTTATTATACTTTAAGTTCTAGGGTACATGTGCACAACGTGCAGGTTTGTTACATATGTATACATGTGCCATGTCAGTGTGCTACACCCATTAACTAGTCATTTACATTAGGTACATCTCCTAATGCTATCCCTCCCACCTCCCCCTTCCCCCCACCCCACAACAGGTCCCGGTGTGTGATGTTCCCCTTCCTGTGTCCATGTTTTCTCATTGTTCAATTCCCACCTATGAGTGAGAACATGCAGTGTTTGGTTTTTTATCCTTGTGATAGTTTGCTGAGAATGATGGTTTCCAGTTTCATCCACGTCCCTACAAAGGACATGAACTCATCATTTTTTATGGCTGCATAGTATTCCATGGTGTATATGTGCCACATTTTCTTAATCCAGTCTATCATTGTTGGACATTTGGGTTGGTTCCAAGTCTTGGCTATTGTGAATAGTGCTGCAATAAACATATGTGTGCATGTGTCTTTTTGTATTTTTTTTTTTTTTTTTGAGACGGAGTCTCGCTCTGTCACCCAGGCTGGAGTGCAGTGGCAGGATCTCGGCTCACTGCAAGCTCCGCCTCCCGGGTTCACGCCATTCTCCTGCCTCAGCCTCCCAAGTAGCTGGGACTACAGGCGCCCGCCACTACGCCCGGCTAATTTTTTGTATTTTTAGTAGAGACGGGGTTTCACCGTTTTAGCCGGGATGGTCTCGATCTCCTGACCTCGTGATCCGCCCGCCTCAGCCTCCCAAAGTGGCATGTGTCTTTATAGCAGCATGATTTATAATCCTTTGGGTATACACCCAGTAATGGGATGGCTGGGTCAAATGGTATTTCTAGTTTTAGATCCCTAAGGAATTGCCACACTGTCTTCCACAATGGTTGAACTAGTTTACAGTCCCACCAACAGTGTAAAACTGTTCCTATTTCTCCACATCCTCTCCAGCACCTGTTGTTTCCTGACTTTCTAATGATTGCCATTCTAACTGGTGTGAGATGGTATCTCAAATATAGAAGTCTAGTATCTCAAATATAGAAGTCTAGTATAACTAATTTAGGGAGGGTTGAGTGGTTTAAGAGATTACTTAAGGAATACAATGCTTCTCACCTTGGCCTCTGTAATACCACATAGAAGCATAGAAGGAGCCTCTTAACCCTGGATTCCACTCCCTTCTGTCCTCCACCATTTCCTGGTTGCTTTTATGTTAGCTCTTCTCTGTTACCTCCAACATCAATACATTGTTTGTTTACTATTGTTTTAACCAGTGTATCTAGCCATCCTAAAATGGGCTAATCTTGTTTGAAGAGTTGTGGAGAGTGCAGTAGTTATTAGAACATGTGCTGTATTACTGGTAATACTTTGTCTCCAGACTATTGTAACCCACTTTTGTGTCTGATTCCTTTGAGAATTTGTTGAAAGGTGTTAACACTACTCTGCAAAGAAAATGGATGTAGAATCATACACATAGACATGCACAAAAGTGTGCTTCAGTATCAGAAGGCTATGAAAAACATCGAGGCTCTCCTTGCAACTCTAAAGATTCAAGGATTCATATAAAGAAAATAACCCAACAAATTCTTCAGATGATCATTTTTATGGGAGTCAGAGTCCCAGATTCTTTCTTGGCCATGTGGTGCTGTGCAGAGTACATCTTCTACTCCAGGTCATGGATCTAATTCATGGAGTTATCTGAAATTGATCTCAGCGGGTTCTTTTGTTTGTTTTTTTGCTTTTTAATTGAGAAACATATTTGTCAGTGTGCTATTCATAATACATAGAAATCTCCAATAAGTAATAAGTGGATGTGTCTTTCCATCACAATAGTACTGAAATAATTAGATATTATTATTACATTTTTAGTTCAACAAAGAACGTTCAGTTACAAAACACTAAGCACTATTAGCAATATCAAGACAATAGCACAGAAAGCAAAAAAAAAAAGGCACTAAACACCTATATTGTATTAGACATTGGGTTTTGTACAGTGGAGAATAATATGCAGAGAACACATAGCTTTCCTGTATTCTTATTCTAGGATAGAAGCTAAGCATACACAAATAATTGAGTTTAAGCAATTATATATAGCAGTATAAGAAAAGAATAAGGGAGTCTTTTAAAAAGCAGCAGAGAGAATTTCCTTTATCACAAGGCAATTTTTGAAGGCTGCTTAGATGAAGTTTCTTCACAGTTGTGTTTTGAAATTTTGTAACAGTTGAAGTAGATAGAAGTGGAAAGGAATTCCAGGGAAGAAGACAGATACCGATTATTGATTAAACTGTTAACTAAATATTTGATGAGGACCTATAATTATTACCAAATTAATTACATTACATATCTGTAATCCTTAATTTACCTAAAAAACTTTATGTCCCAATATATAAAGTAAATAATACAGACTACCTAGAAATGAATAGTCTACTAGGATTACTGATATACAGACCACAGACCAAAGGTTATACCCTCAAAGGAGTGCTCAAAGTCATAAAGTATTAGAGGTGAAAACTACTTCTACATTATCAGGCCTCCAAAGCCTACCACATTTTCAAGTACAAATACTTTGTAATGGATCACCCTTTTAAATGAATAAAGGAAAAAATGAGCTTATTGTAATAATTAAAATACCAACTCAGTTCCCTTATAGTTTAAGATACATTTCAAAGATTACAGAGTCCAAATATATATATACATATATATAAAATATATATTACTGAGTCCAAAGAGTCAAAAGATATATATATAAAGTATATATATGTATATAAAGTGTATATATATAAAATATATATGTATATAAGATATACATATATACTTTTTTATTCTTAGCACACCAAAGTGAACAACTTCATCAGACACTTTCCTGGGAGTATTTTTTTTTTTATTTGGAGGAAGATAAGGGATATTTCAAATCTGGTGAGGAGAAGAAGGAGAGGAATCTGGAGAGAGGAAGAAGTATATATAAAGGGAATTTTGTGTCTGTTTTGTCTATTTTATTCTGTTTTGGCCAACTTGTAACTTTCACCAATGTTTTGAAGGTATTGATTGAATTGTGGATGTAAAAACTAAAAGTAGAAGTTCCTCTTCAAAGACTTTACTCCCCATCTAATTAGGAATAAATAGTAACTTCTCTTCGAAGCAAATTTTGTTTAAAGACCTGCACTCCTAAATATTTGCCCTGGCATGCTTATACTGATCCAAGCAAGCATTAGGTCATAGCCTGTTCCTCTTTCTTATTTAAAAGTGTTTTTACCTTTGTCAGCATTCCACAAGTTACTTCCTGCTTCCTTTTTCTCCTCTGCCTTTGCCTCTTTTAAAAACTTCTGAGTTGCTAGCCAATATGGACAAATACAGAATGAGGTCCTGTTCCAGCCAATGGAAAACGGACACAGCAGTTGTCAGGTTATAAATGACCCTGTCTCCTTTGTTCGGTGTACTCTCGTGGCAAAACTGCTGGCGAGTGTACCCTTTCTGGAGGAAGTAAAAAATGACCTTTCTAAATAAATTCAATTTGTGTTCAAGAGCTATTTCTTTTATAACACCAGGGAACAAGCATTTCAAACAGTGGAGAAACACAATGGGCTTCCAGACTATATTTAAATAAATTACACTTTGGTTTATATTTCTACTTGCATATTATGTACTGTCTAGTGTCATCTTGACAACAAAAATGTAGAGAATTTATTTTTCTTGAAAGAGAAGCCTTGTGATAATATTAGTTTCCATATATTCTTAAAAACTGATCTTCACTGGGAAAAGTGACATTTCAAAGTTGAAGCACTGACTTTTCCATGATAGAAAATAAATTGAATGAAGAAGGTATTTAGTATCTACTCTCTCTTCTCTAAAACCACATCACCTTCTTTCCTCCAAATCTCTGCTCTGTTCCAGGAATGTGCAGTTTTTGAATATCAGGATAATGAAAACTCTTCTGGGGATTACAAACATGATCTGGTTCAATGATAACACTTCAAACCACCCCACTTATAAAATGCTTTCTTGTTTTCATGATTCTAATATTTAGTTTGAATTGTGAAAACAAACAGTTGAGTAGTAATACTGTACCCCACCCTCATCTTATTTAAATGTAACCTCAGAAACTCTGTGTGTTCTAGGGATGCTTTCAATAAATTAAAGGAAGAAAATTAGAAAGGGGGATATTAAAGAGATAACTAATTTTCAAAGAACATTCATTCCTGTTTATTAGTATATGTCAGGACAAAATGTTATAAGGACACATCAAGGTAGCAACAGATTATTTAGAGGCTATAAGTGTTTTCGTTTACTTTTTATAATCTGGAATATCTGGGAGAAATTTTGCAGAGAAGTGGAGCATACAAGGTATTAATAAATAACATCTATATAAATATATATAATGAATATGGAATGTATAAACTATGTATTAATAAGATATTATCTACAGGGTGGTGGTGGCATAGGACTTCATATTGTAAAACTCAAAGAGCAGCTAAATATATCTTAAATGTTGAGTGATACACAACATAAAAAATGGCCCTCAGTATTTATTGAAAATTATAAAATGAAATTTAATATTAAAATGGATCATTACCTCTTACATTTACCTTCCTTGAATTGGAAAAATTAATCAGAATGATGCCAAAGCTAACCAAGGCTTGTACTTGAAGAATGCTATAGCAAGGTATCATGTTCATAAGCATATTTGAGAATCATAATAACCCTATGAAGTGGTCATTAAAATTTGGAAGAAAGTGTTGAAGTGGCTTATTAAGAAACCGCCACCAGAATGTATCCAATAAGAAATATTTAATTTTGCATAAAATATTCCATAACATCACATAGCACAGCATAAATTAATTCCTTTTTTTTTTGCAGGTAGACCAT
The DNA here is from genome assembly GCF_000001405.40 of Homo sapiens. Lineage (NCBI taxonomy): Eukaryota > Metazoa > Chordata > Mammalia > Primates > Hominidae > Homo > Homo sapiens. The sequence continues at coordinate 55,572,093 of NC_000011.10, forward strand.
TTCACACTTGCCCCTTCACCTCACTCACGAAAACCATGCAACTGAATAATAATGTGACTGAGTTCATTCTGCTTGGATTGACACAGGATCCTTTTTGGAAGAAAATAGTGTTTGTTATTTTTTTGCGTCTCTACTTGGGAACACTGTTGGGTAATTTGCTAATCATTATTAGTGTCAAGACCAGCCAGGCACTTAAGAACCCAATGTTCTTCTTCCTTTTCTACTTATCCTTATCTGATACTTGCCTCTCTACTTCCATAACCCCTAGAATGATTGTGGATGCCCTTTTGAAGAAGACAACTATCTCCTTCAGCGAGTGCATGATCCAAGTCTTTTCATCCCATGTCTTTGGCTGCCTGGAGATCTTCATCCTCATCCTCACGGCTGTTGACCGCTATGTGGACATCTGTAAGCCCCTGCACTACATGACCATCATAAGCCAGTGGGTCTGTGGTGTTTTGATGGCTGTGGCCTGGGTGGGATCCTGTGTGCATTCTTTAGTTCAGATTTTTCTTGCCCTGAGTTTGCCATTCTGTGGCCCCAATGTGATCAATCACTGTTTCTGTGACTTGCAGCCCTTGTTGAAACAAGCCTGTTCAGAAACCTATGTGGTTAACCTACTCCTGGTTTCCAATAGTGGGGCCATTTGTGCAGTGAGTTATGTCATGCTAATATTCTCCTATGTCATCTTCTTGCATTCTCTGAGAAACCACAGTGCTGAAGTGATAAAGAAAGCACTTTCCACATGTGTCTCCCACATCATTGTGGTCATCTTGTTCTTTGGACCTTGCATATTTATGTACACATGCCTTGCAACCGTATTCCCCATGGATAAGATGATAGCTGTATTTTATACAGTTGGAACATCTTTTCTCAACCCTGTGATTTACACGCTGAAGAATACAGAAGTGAAAAGTGCCATGAGGAAGCTTTGGAGCAAGAAATTGATCACAGATGACAAAAGATAAATGAAGGTTTCAAATCCTTCTTTATAGTTTGGAGTGACCTAGAAGAAATCAATGAGAATATTATATTTTTATTGTTGATTTAATGTAATCCTGCCTTGGTACATGAGGATTAGTTCCTTTGGGAAAAGAGACAGTGTAAACAAATAACAATGGTTAATGTTGAGTCAGTTTTATGTGGCAGAAAAGACAGCATGCAATACAAACTAGTATGTAAAGCTCATTGCCTTCAGTGCTATTCACTCCTGTGTCTCTGGTCCTCCTGCCTGCTTAGTGTCACTTATGGTTTAGGTCTGTAGTTTGCCTGTTCTTCTCCATGTTGACTTCTGGAATTCCCTGCTAATATTTACCCATCTAAATATAAACAGTCCAATAGGATTTTTCCCCTTCTTAATGGTTTTCTTTATTAGACACATTGGATTCTTCATACCTCATGATCAACTTAGTTGTTCTTCCTGACTCAACAGGAAGTACCATATTTCAGTAATTGTAGGAGCTTCATGTTGCAAGAGACAATATATATGACCTAGGAAATCTCCCTTCCAATTTTTTGAGCTGTATGCTGAAATCTTTCTATAAGTTTACCTAGATACTTCTAAAACCATGACAGAACAAAGAAAGAAAATTTACCCTTCTGAAAGAGTTCTTGATCTTAGGAAGACTCTCACAGTTTGTGTTGTAGTCATGTAATTATTCTTTTTGTAAAATGACTTTATGGTCCTAATTGATCCCTTCTAATTTTGGGGACTGGTTTGCTTTACTACATTTGGCCTGATTATTTGTATATAGTGCAGGAAGAATAATTATTCTTTTACAAATGCTTTTAAATTGGCTTTGATGGAACTTAGTTCCATAGAAGAAATTTCAGGTGAGACTTTTTAAAAACTGAGGCCAGCCAAGGATTTGTGCCATCAAACATCTATGAGTTGGGTGATCCTCTACTCTTGAGGTTCCAAGATAAACTTGGGGCTTGTCAACATGTCAGAAAGTGACATTCTTACCACATGTTAAGAACCCTGTACAGAAACTGTGTGGACAAAGGTGATATAAGGCCAGTTTCCCAAGCGGATTTATTGGCTCCTTAAGTCAAGTTTGATTCCTTAAAGAAACAGGCACCATTCCAGTTAAAACCTTGGTAAAATAACCAGTTACTCCAATCGTGTCATGTTATAAATGAAAACAGATGCTTATTACACTTATGTAAATAACTGTACTGCCATAAATTAAGACTACACACAAATAGTTTCCAAATTCTGGAGAAATTAGTTAGAGAGGAACAAATATGCTCCAAATTTTTTCATAGGAGTATACTAAATTGTTAAAAGCTGTTACTAGCTCCAAAGAAAATTTTTAAGACCTCAAAGACAAAACACAGGATTAGCAAACACTTTAGGCAAAAAGTCTAATAGATTGGTTCAGTCGATGTAGTTAATTCCTGTTCTGCTTGATAGTCATGAATATTTTAGCACTCCATGATCCCTGAAAGTTTTTCCTCTATTCTGATGTCACAATTTCCAAAGTTGTTAGAAAACTCCATTCACTAGCACCTGTTAGAGTTTTATAGTTGATTATAAAACAACCTTTTAAAGAGGACCAAAACAAGACAACAAGTGTCCATGAACGAAAAAAAGTTTTAAGGCAGCCATTAGTCAAACATACAATTGACAAGAAAATTTGTTACTCCTAAGGCACATGGTAATTTTAACATAATAGTTATGATTATTACAGATAATATACACTAAGTCATATCAGAATTACAGGACTTTGCCATAATTTTAAAACACATGCCTATAACATATTGATATAAATACAGCCCAAAGAAAAGCAAACACCATTTCATATTTGAAAATGCTTCCATATAATTTTTATACCAAATAAGCCAAATATATCATTTTTGGACTTTAGGGAAACTAATATCTTAAAAAATTAGTCAGATCAAAAAAAGATATAATTTATAATTTTATTTTGGAACATTCATCAAATATAAAAGTTTAAAACACTTCATATCTCAAAATAGGATTACAGGTCATTGTAAATTCATTCATGTAACCAAAGTGATAACTCAATAATTTCCAAAAAAAGCAAAAACCTACATTGTATGAGAGAGGAGACTTAATTTTCCTAACAAGAATCCCTAATAAAAACAACATGAAGCCAATTAAATGTTTTTCAAAATTTTGTAAACAATCTATAAAATTTAATCTTGATTATAAAATATAACTCCCATAAGTTTTTAATAACCTTTATCACCTTTATTAAAAAGTTGGCTAATCCTTGAAGAAAACCTTGTTAATCTGACACAGAGATCCATATGCTGTTCTTGCATGAGTGTGCCTTTGACGTTAATGACTGATTTATAGAGAACCTCAACCTATTTGGTCTCTGAAAATCAGCCCTTAAAATCTCACATGCCCACCTCTTCCATGAAAGTCCCCGGGCCTTGAGGAGTTGAATGAGTTTAATTTTTGGCCCTGTGTCTTAGCAATGCAGTTTATTTTGATTGGTATCTTCTATGAGGTCTGAAGGTGAGGCTTTAATTTTTGTCGCTGTTTAAGATTTAGCATGTCTTGGTGTTCTTTTTAGACTCAGGAGTCAAATCCCTGTAACTCAATGTAAAAAGGACTTTAGAAACTTATACAGGAAGATACATGGATGTAATAACCTTAATTTAAAAAAAATTTCAGGTTTGTTTATAAGCAAACCAAAACTTAATCATTATATGACTACTTGATCTGCTAATTTTTTAAAAATAAATCCTCTTATTGTGATTTACACTGACTGTTCATGACATACTTGGTATTTCTGGTTTGTCCCGAACATCCCTTCTTCTTAAACAACCAGTCATTTTATTTTAGGACTAAATTTAGCATATAAGATTTTTGTCATATAAAATTATTTCTGTAAGTTTTCTTAACACACAGACACACACAAATCACAAAATATCTCCTTATTTTTATAACTTTCTTTACATCTTTCTTTCTTCGTGGTTCCTTTATGTTGGAGTGATAAGACCCACCACCATGTCATGGGGACTACCAAGTCTGGCGGAGTCAAAGAAATGAGACAAGACAAGTTAAGAGTACATAGAGTGGGTCCAGGGGGCCAACGTCAGTTTGGGGGCTGTGAAGGCCCCAAGCTCTGGGAGCTCACAATATTTATTGGTAATCAAACAAAGAAGCATGTGGTGAGCACGTTCAGATGTGGGGGTAGACAAGTGAGGATGTGAGGATAGAAAGGTAGTGGTGCATCAAGCGTAGCTGTGACGGTTTAGCATATTTTCTGCTACTTGAAATAAGGGAGAACAGGTTCTTCTAATTCAAGATACAATCAATTTATGATCTTGGGAGAGCAAGGAGCAAGGGTCCAGTGAGTTTGGACACATTCCAGAGGCTACAAGAGGTTTTATGCCCTGTGCCCTGGGCTCTCTCCAAGCCACAAGGTGTTTTATGCCCTGGGTTTAGATTGTAGTGTGGAAGGGCAGCCTTCCAACTTTTGGCACAGAGCTTGGTGTTCCATAGGCCACAAGAGGTTTTAGACCCTGGACCCAGGACATGTTCCTAGACACTTTTACATTATGTCAGACAAGCAAGCCCTGCCTGTTTTATACATAACCTTGAAATAAGCTTTGAATTAGACAAAATTGGTTCTTCTTTTTTTTAAAAAGGACACACTTTTTTTTTGCAAGAATGTTTTCCTAAAATATATATTTATTGGAAAATACTCAAATAATAAAATATCTATTATGTAATATAATTTTAGGTTCTAAATTATGACACGTTTGTCTACAAGTATTTATCCCATTACATTCACAAAATTATTTTATTTTGTTTACCTGTATTATTTATGAAAACTGTCATAGTCATGATTTAAAGTTATGAAATCACCATTGCAAAAGGATAACTGAGACAGTGAAAAACATATTACCTAATTGACTCTACCTTGCTTCTAACATCTAAGCTGTCCTTGTTTATTTCTGGACTTCGAGTGGAACTTAGTTTATAGTTTAGTTTTGCAACAAAGATAATAACGGTATTTTCCCAAAGCAAATCTCCTTACTGTCTGTGGATGAGACTGCCTAAAGCCACAAGATTAAAAGTTATGGATGGCAGCCAAGACGGCCAAAAAGGAACAGATCCGGTCTACAGCTCCCAGCATGAGTGACGCAGAAGATGGGTGATTTCTGCATTTCCATCTAAAGTACCGGGTTCTTCTCACTGGGGAGTGCCAGACAATGGGCGCAGGATAGTGGGTGCAGGGCACCATTCATGAGCCGAAGCAGGGCAAAGAATTGCCTCACTCAGGAAGCACAAGGGGTCAGGGAGTTCCCTTTCCTATTCAAAGAAAGAGGTGACAGATGGCACCTGGAAAATCAGGTTACTCCCACCCTAATACTGAACTTTTCTGATGGGTTTAAAAAATGGTGCACCAGGAGATTATATCCCACACTGGACTCAGAGGGTCCAATGCCCATCGAATCTTGCTGATTGCTAGCGCAGCAGTCTGAGATCAAACTGCAAGGCGTCAGTGAGGGTAGGGGAGGGTCGCCCGCCATTGCCCAGGTTTTCTTAGGTAAACAAAGCAGCCGGGAAGCTCGAACTGGGTGGAGCCCACCACAGCTAAACGAGTCCTGCCTGCCTCTGTAGGCTCCACTTCTAGGGGCAGGACACAGACAAACAAAAAGACAGCAGTAACCTCTGCAGAATTAAATGTCCCTGTCTGACAGCTTTGAAGAGAGCAGTGGTTCTCCCAGCACGCAGCTGGAGATCTGAGAACAGGCAGAATGCCTCCTCAAGTGGGTCCCTGACCTTTGACCCCTGAGCAGACTAACTGGGAGGCACTCCCCAGTAGCGGCAGACTGACACCTCACATGGCCGGGTACTCCTCTGAGACAAAACTTCCAGAGGAAAGATCAGACAGCAGCATTCGCGATTCATGAAAATCCGCTGTTCTGCAGCCATCTCTGCTGATACCCAGGCAAACAGGGTCTGGAGTGGACCTCTAGCAAACTCCAACAGACCTGCAGCTGAGGGTCCTGTCTGTTAGAAGGAAAACTAACAAACAGAAAGGACATTCACACCAAAAACCCCTCTGTACGTCACGATCATCAAAGACCAAAGGTAGATAAAACCACAAAGATGGGGAAAAAACAGAGAAGAAAACTGGAAACTCTAAAAATCAGAGTGCCTCTCCTCCTCCAAAGGAACACAGCTCCTCACCAGCAACAGAACAAAGCTGGATGGAGAATGACTTTGACGAGTTGAGACAAGAAGGCTTCAGATGATCAAACTACACTGAGCTACAGGAGGAAATTCAAACCAAAGACAAAGAAGTTAAAACCTTTGAAAAAAATTTAGACGAATGTATAACTAGAATAACCAATAGAGAGAAGTGCTTAAAGGAGCTGATGGAGCTGAAAACCAAGGCTCAAGAACTATGTGAAGAATGCAGAAGCCTCAGGAGCCGATGCGATCAACTGGAAGAAAGGGTATCAGCGATGGAAGATGAAATGAATGAAATGAAGTGAGAATGGAAGTTTAGAGAAAAAAGAATAAAAAGAAATGAACAAAGCTGCCAAGAAATATGGGACAACGTGAAAAGACCAAATCTACATCTGATTGGTGTACCTGAAAGTGATGGGGAGAATGGAACCCAGTAGGAAAACACTCTGCAGGATATTATCCAGGAGAACTTCCCCAATCTAACAAGACAGGCCAACATTCAGATTCAGGAAATACAGAGAATGTCACAAAGATACTCCTCGAGAAGAGCAACTCAAAGACACATAATTGTCAGATTCACCAAAGTTGAAATGAAGGAAAAAAGGTTAAGGGCAGCCAGAGAGAAAGGTTGGGTTACCCACAAAGGGAAGCCCATCACACTAACAGCGGATCTGTTGGCAGAAACTCTACAAGCCAGAAGAGAGTGGGGGCCAATATTCAACATTCTTAAAGAAAAGAATTTTCAACCCAGAATTTCATATCCAGCCAAACTAAGCTTCATAAGTGAAGGAGAAATAAAATACTTTACAGAGAAGCAAATGCTGAGAGATTTTGTTACCACCGGGACTGCCCTAAAAGAGCTCCTGAAGAAAGCACTAAACATGGAAAGAAAAAACCGGCACCAGCCACTGCAAAATCATGCCAAATTGTAGAGACCATCGAGGCTAGGAAGAAACTGCATCAACTAATGAGCAAAATAACCAGCTAACATCATAATGACAGGATCCAATTCACACATAACACTATTAACTTTAAATGTAAATGGACTAAATGCTCCAATTAAAAGACACAGACTGGCAAATTGGATAAAGAGTCAAGACCATCAGTGTGCTGTATTCAGGAAAACCATCCCACGTGCAGAGACACACATAGGCAAGAAATAAAAGGATGAAGGAAGATCTACCAAGCAAATGGAAAACAAAAAAAGGCAGAGGTTGCAATCTTAGTAACTGATAAAACAGACTTTAAACAAACAAAGATCAAAAGAGACAAAGAAGGCCGTTACATAATGGTAAGGGGATCAATTCAACAAGAAGAGTTAACTATCCTAAATATATATGCACCCCACACAGGAGCACCCAGATTCATAAAGCAAGTCCTGAGTGACCTACAAAGAGACTTAGACTCCCACAGAATAATAATGGGAGACTTTAACACCCCACTGTCAACATTAGACAGATCAACGAGACAGAAAGTTAAAAAGGATATCCAGGAATTGAAGTCAGCTCTGCACCAAGTGGACCTAATAGACTTCCACAGAACTCCCCACCCCAAATCAACAGAATATACATTCTTCTCAGCACCACACCACACTTATTCCAAAATTGACCACATAGTTGGAAGTAAAGCTCTCCTCAACAAATGTAAAAAAAGAGAAATAATAACAAACTGTCTCTCAGACTACAGTGCAATCAAACTAGAACTCGGGATTAAGAAACTCATTCAAAACTGCTCATATACGTGGAAACTAAACAACCTGCTCCTGAATGACTACTGGGTATATAACGAAATGAACGCAGAAAAAAAGATGTTCTTTGAAACCAACGAGAACAAAGACACAACATACCACAATGTCTGGGAAACATTCAAAGCAGTATGTACAGGGAAACTTATAGCACTAAATGCCCACAGGAGAAAGCAGGAAAGATCTAAAATTGACACATTAACATCACAGTTAAAAGAACGAGAGAAGCAAGAGCAAACACATTCAAAAGCTAGCAGAAGGCAAGAAATAACTAAGATCAGAGCAGAACTGAAGGAAATGGAGACACAAAAAACCCTTCAAAAAAATCAATGAATCCAGGAGCTGGTGTTTTGAAAAGATCAACAAAATTGATAGACCACTAGCAAGACTAATAAGGAAGAAAAGAGAGAAGAATCAAATAGACACAATAAAAAATGATAAAGGGGTTATCACCACCGATCCCATAGAAATAAAAACTACCATCAAAGAATACTACAAACACCTCTACGCAAATAAACTAGAAAATCTAGAAGAAATGGATAAATTCCTTGACACGTACACCCTCCAAAGACTAAACCAGGAAGAAGTTGAATCTCTGAATAGACCAATAACAGGCTCTGAAATTGAGGCAATAATTAATAGCCTACCAACCAAAAGAAGTCCAGGACCAGATGGATTCACAGCTGAATTCTACCAGTGGCACAAGGAAGAACTGGTACCATTCCTTCTGAAACTCTTCCAATCGATAGAAAAAGAGGGAATCTTCCCTAACTCATTTTATGAGGCCAGCATCATCCTGATACCAAAGCTGGGCAGAGGCACAACCAAAAAAGAGAATTTTAGACCAATATCCTTGATGAACATTGATGCTAAAATCCTCAATAAAATACTGGCAAACTGAACCCAGCAGCACATCAAAAAGCTTATCCACCATGATCAAGTGGGCTTCATCCCTGGGATGCAAGGCTGGTTCAATATACACAAATCAATAAATGTAATCCAGCATATAAACAGAACCAAAGACAAAAACCGCATGATTATCTCAGTAGATGCAGAAAAGGCCCGCATGATTATCTCAATAAATGCAGAAAAGGCCTTTGACAAAATTCAACAACCTTAATGCTAAAAACTCCCAATAAATTAGATATTGATGGGACATATCTCAAAATAATAATAGCCATCTATGACAAACCCACAGCCAATATCATACTGAATGGGCAAAAACTGGAAGCATTCCCTTTGAAAACTGGCACAAGAAAGAGATGCCCTCTCTCACCACTCCTATTCAACATAGTGTTGGAAGTTCTGGCCAGGGCAAATAGGCAGGAGAAGGATATAAAGGGTATTCAATTAGGAAAAGAGGAAGTCAAATTGTCCCTGTTTGCAGATGACATGATTGTATATCTAGAAAACCCCATTGTCTCAGCCCAAAATCTCCTTAAGCTGATAAGCAACTTCAGCAAAGTCTCAGGATACAAAATCAGTGTACAAAAATCAAAGCATTCTTATACACCAATAACAAACAGAGAGCGAAATCATGAGTGGACTCCCATTCACAATTGCTTCAAAGAGAATAAAATACCTAGGAATCCAACTTACAAGGGATGTGAAGGACCTCTTCAAGGAGAACTACAATCCACTGCTCAAGGAAATAAAAGAGGATACAAAGAAATGGAAGAACATTCCATGCTCATGGGTAGGAAGAATCAATATCGTGAAAATGGCCATACTGCCCAAGGTAATTTATAGATTCATGGCATCCCCATCAAGCTACAAATGACTTTCTTCACAGAATTGGAAAAAACTACTTTAAAGTTCATATGGAACCAAAAAAGTGTCAGCATCGCCAAGTCAATCCTAAGCTAAAAGAACAAAGCTGGAGGCATCACACTACCTGACTTCAAACTATACTACAAGGCTACAGTAACCAAAACAGCATGGTACTGGTACCAAAACAGAGATATAGATCAATGGAACAGAACAGAGCCCTCAGAAATACCACCGCATATCTACAACTATCTGATCTTTGACAAACCTGAGAAAAACAAGCAATGGGGAAAGGATTCCCTATTTAATAAACGGTGCTGGGAAAACTGGCTAGCCATATGTAGAAAGCTGAAACTGGATCCCTTCCTTACACCTTATACAAAAATCAATTCAAGATGGATTAAAGACTTAAACGTTAGACCTAAAACCATAAAAACCCTAGAAGAAAACCTAGGCATTACCATTCAGGACATAGGCATGGGCAAGGACTTCATGTCTAAAACATCAAAAGCAATGGCAAAAAAAGCCAAAATTGACAAATGGGACCTAATTAAACTCAAGAGCTTCTGCACAGCAAAAGAAACTACCATCAGAGTGAACAGGCAACCTACAAAATGGGAGAAAATTTTCACAACCTACTCATCTGACAAAGGGCTAATATCCAGAATCTACAATGAACTCAAACATATTTACAAGAAAAAAACAAACAACCCCATCAAAAAGTGGGCAAAGGACATGAACAGACACTTCTCATAAGAAGACATTTATGCAGCCAAAAAACACACGAAAAAATGCTAACCATCACTGGCTATCAGAGAAATGCAAATCAAAACCACAGTGAGATACCATCTCACACCAGTTAAAATGGCAATCATTAAAAAGTCAGGAAACAACAGGTGCTGGAGAGGATGTGGAGAAATAGGAACACTTTCACACTGTTGGTGGGACTGTAAATTAGTTCAGGCATTGTGGAAGTCAGTGTGGCGATGCCTCAGGGATCTAGAACTAGAAATACCATTTGACCTAGCCTTCCCATTACTGGGTATATACTCAAAGGACTATAAATCATGCTGCTATAAAGACACATGCACATGTATGTTTATTGCAGCACTGTTCACGATAGCAAAGACTTGGAACCAACCCAAATGTCCACAATGATAGACTGGATTAGGAAAAGGTGGCACATATACACCATGGAATACTATGCAGCCATAAAAAAGGATGAGTTCATGTCCTTTGTAGGGACATGGATGAAATTGGAAATCATCATTCTCAGCAAACTATCACAAGAACAAAAAACCAAACACCATATATTCTCACTTATAGGTGGGAATTGAACAGTGAGAACACATGGACACAGGAAGGGGAACATCACACTCTGGGGACTGTTGTGGGGTGGGGGGAGGGGGGAGGGATAGCTTTAGGAGATATACCTAATGCTAAATGATGAGTTAATGGGTGCAGCACACCAGCATGGCACATGTGTACCTATGTAACTAACCTGCACATTGTGCACATGTACCCTAAAACTTAAAGTATAATAAAAAAAAAGAAAACCCACATTGAGACCTTCTTAATTTAGCCTTCAAAGTCTAACTATCATGATGAGGAAAGCAAAAGGCAAAATCAGGCAGAGTTTCAAATGCTTGCCTCCATCATCAGGGTCCCTGCAGGTCCACCGGGCCGCAGCTCCACATGGAAGCCTCCTAGCAATCCACCTCCACCTGGTACCTGTTTCAAGTGCGGCAATGAAGGCCACTGGTCCACACAATACCCACATCCAGGTAAACCCTCCAGGCCATGCCCCCTCTGTGGAGGACCCCACTGCAATTTGGACTGTGAGTGGCCCCCACAAGGACCACCCCCATCCCTTCCTGATCTGGCCAAAACTTCCTACTAGCATCTTATCTGCCTTGCTCCTGAAGACTGGTGGTGCCCTGGAATGGATGTCCCAGCAACTACCATTGCCACATCCAAGCCAAGGGTAACCCTCATGGTGGCAGGTAGGCCAGTATGTTTTTTTAGTTAATACCAGGGGAAACTACTCTGCTTTAGCTAATTTTTTCAAGACCCATCCACTACTTCTAAGTCTCTGTTGTGGGAATTGATGGACAAGTCTCCAAAACCGAGCCACCCCTCCAATCTTCTGCCCCTTTCACATCGTTTTCTTCACTCACTCTTTCTTAGTCCTGCCCTCATGTTCAACTCCACTCCTAGACAGAGACATCCTTTCAAAACTCCACACTACTCACCACTTCCATGTTCCCAATAGTACCCAATGCATCAACCCTGACCCCTCTGGGGCTCCTAACTTTCTTCTACTCCTCCAACCTCCCCCCTTAAAACATGCAACCTTTCTTTATTCCCGATCTGTAATTAACCCTGCTGTTTGGGATACTTCAACACCCTCAGTAACGAAACACCACACCCCCATTCACATTACCCTTAAAGATTTCACCCAGTTCCTATCACAGAAGCAGTATCCAATCCCCCAAGCAGAGCTTGTAGGCCTAAAGCCTATCATTTCTTGCCTCCTTTCCAGTCACCTACTCTGCCCAACAGACTCCCCTTTTAACACACCAATTCTACCTGTCAAAAAGCCAGATGGAACTTATCGCTTAGTCCAGGATCTCAGGTTCATTACTAAGCCGTACTCCCAGTATGTCCAGTAGTTCCTAACCCATACACTTTACTTTCCATGACTCCCTCCAATACCACCCAGTTTTCTGTCCTAGACATAAAAGATGCCTTTTTCACAGTTACTTTACACCCTGATTCCCAAAACTTCTTTGCCTTTATATGGGAAAACCCCAACACTCACCTTTCATGTCAGCTCACCTGGTGTGCACTATTTTAAAGTTTCAGAGCCAGCCCCCCCCATTTTGGGCAGACCCTTGCTTGTGACCTCTGTACCTTATCCCTAAAACTGTCCCCTCTCCAATATGTTAATGATCTGCTCCTGTGTAGCCCCTCTCAAAGAGACTGCAATGCCCATTCTTTCTTTTAAACTTCTTGGAAGAACGGGGGTATCGAGTCTCCCCTAAGAAAGCACAAATATGCACCCCCTCAGTCACCTATCTAGACCTAGCTCTTACCCCACGGACCTAAGGCTCACAACTAACTGCATATCCCTCCTCCAGTACCTCCTGCCTCCACAAACTGAGCAAGAAATTCTCTCTTTTCTAGGACTAGTGGGATATTTTGGGCTCTGGTTTCCCTCCTTCGCTCTACTTGCCAAACTGTTACACCAAGCTGCTAAAGGCCCTCTCCAAGAGCCTTTAAACCCCACACAGCCTATTACCCAACCTTTCCATCTACTCCAGAAGGCTCTCATCTCAGCCCCCATCCTCACTCTCCAAGACCTCACCAATCCTTTCTCTCTATATACTGATGAACGGCATGGAGTTTCACTAAGTGTTCTAACCAAGTCTAAGGGACCCACCCTCCAGGTTGTTGCCTACCTCTCTAAACAGCTTGAAGCCATAGTGTTAGATGGCCTGCCTGTCTCCAATCATTAGCCACCGCTGCTGTCCTCATCCTTGAAAGCTTAAAACTATCTCTCCATGCCAACCTAACAGTTTATTCAACTCATAAAATCAAAGACATGTTAGCTCACCTCAGTGTACTAAGTCTTATCTCTGCTCCACGGCTCCTTCAACTGTATCCTGTATTCACTGAAACTCCCCAAATCACCATACTAACCAGCTCCCATCCAAACCTGGCCACGCTCTTACCTAAAGCTGCAACCACCCAAGACCATACACACTTCTGTGTGAACACTGTTCTTATGCTTTTTCCAAACCTAACAGACCAACCCCTTTCAGATGCCTCCTTTACTTGGTTTATAGATTACTACTGTATCTGCCACTCAGTATCACCCCAGGGCTTCCTCCAGCTGCCACCTTTTCCTACCCACCAAACCTGGGGCCAGGTATCCGGGCAAGATAGGCAAGTAGACTTCACTGACATGCTGCCCAATAAATGGCCCTTTATCTTCCAGTCTTTGTCTGTATTTTCTTTGGGTAGATAGAAGTGTTCCCAACAACTTCAGAAGGTACAAAAGTCATCACACAAACTCTCATTGTGTATATAATTCCCCATTTTGGACTCCTAACATGCATCCAATCCAATAACGGGCCCGCCTTTTATCAGCCTAATTACCCAATGTATCTCTACATCCCTGGTAATAAAATCAGTTCTCCACACACCCTACAGGCCTCAATCTTCAGGCAAAGTTAGAAAGGTCAACTCTGTCCTTGAAGCTCAACTCACCAAGCTAGCTCTAGAAACCCACCAGTCATGGACAAAAAAATCTCCCTTTCACACTCATGAGACTTCATGCAACAACCAAAACACCCTCTTTTTATAGTCCCTTTGAAATCATGTGTGGCCAAACTTTTGTCTTAGGGCCTTCACCCTCACCAGACTTTGAGCCACTCAGAAATTACCTCCCCTCCTTAATCCAGACATGGTCTTTCACTCTTGAAGCAGCAAATGAGGCCATGCCTCTCCCTGTTGACACCTCCTTGTCCTCTCAACATAACTGTCTTGCAGGCACAGACATGTTTATTTGCCAACTCAACACTCACCAAAAGCTACAACCGAAGTGGACAGGCCCCTACACTGTGATACTCAGCACACCAACTGCAGTGAGAGTCTAAGGACTCCCTCACTGAGTCCATCACACCAGGGTCCAGCTCATCCCCAAGGCTACTCCTTCCTCCAAAACATTAACAGTGGATAACACCCTCAGAGTCCCTGTATATAACCTAAACAAAGAAAAAATGATCTTTAAAGGTAGGAGAAAGCCAAAGATGGCAAGAGGATGAATGGTCTTCTCAAGGGATTATTGAATATTATTGTCCTGCCACTTGGGCTGAGGATGGCTCATGAGGTTATTGCACTCCCATATACATGCTTAATAGAATAATCACAGATGGTTCTAGAGATAGTCACTAGCCAAACCGCCTTGGCCCTGGAAATGCTCGTGCAACAACAAAACCAAATGGGCACAGCAATTTATCAAAATAGGTTAGCACTAGACTACTTATTAGCAGAAGAAGGTGGGGTCTGTGATAAATTTAATATCTCTAATTGCTGTCTTAACATAGATGATAACAGAAAAGTGGTTCTAGATATCACTTTAAACATCAGAAAAGTAGCCCATGTACTAGTCCAAACCTGGAAGGGATGGGACCCAGCAAATCTTCTAGGAGGGTGGTTCTCTAATTTAGGAGGATTTAAAATGCAGGTAGGGACAGTAATCTTTATCAATGGGTTCCTCCTGTTTCTCCCCTGAGTTATCCCACTAATAATAAAAGCCATTAAAACTCTTGTTGAAACTACATTTAACTGCAAGACAATCCAGACGATGCTCCTCCTACAACGACACAATGGATACCAACTGGTCTCTCAAGAATATCCCCAAAATTAAGCTCTTCTTTTTCCGAGATGTCCACACCACCCCTATGTCAGGCCTGAAGTAGTTGTTGAGAAAGTTTTTTCCTTTTCCCTTTTCTATAGCCAAATAGACAAGAATGAAAGATTCTCCCCAAGGCCTGAAAACTTAGGGGGATGAATAACTCCTCCCTTTTCAGGCCCAGTCCCAAGGTGCAAGGCTATCTGCACTAGCAGCATGCACCAGCAAGATAGCAGAAACAGGAAGAGAGCTAGCCAGGACACAGGTACCCTGACCAGAAGACACCTACTCTGTCTGGAAGACAAGTACCCCTGAAGATTGGGAAAGAGGTCGTCTGGGTACTACGTAGCAGTTACGTCAGACGGGGACACTTCCTGTTTACAGGAGATTATAAAACCGCTGCCCTGTCCTCACTTGGGATTGATGCCATTTTAGGCCTCAGCCTGCCTGCACCCAGGCACTCATTAAAAGAGCTTGTTGCTCCACATTGCCTTATGTTGTCTGTTGGCGTGCTCTAGGGGTTTGAACCGATACAACAACCTTTCAGGAAGCAAGTAAAACTCCAACAAAAGAAGAGTTTTACAGTAAAATAAACTTTAGATCTCAACCAAATTTTGGGAAATCAGGGATTCCCTGGAGTGGGTTCTCTCAGACTCAGCAAATTGTCCTATTGGTTTGACCCATAAAGTTAGCTCATGCTGGGACCAAGCTTTGATAGGAGATTTGTCAAAGGTCAGGGCATCTCCACTCAGAATCCTTCTGTGGTTACCAAAAATGTGAACCCCCAAAATTTGAAATAGATCTCAGTTAATTTAGAAAGTTTATTTTGCCAAGGTTGAGGACATGCACCCATGACACAGAATCAGAAAATCCTGATGACATGTGCCCAAGGTGGCTGGGGCACAGCTTAGTTTTATACATTTTAGGGAGACGTGAGACATCAATCAATATTTGAGTTTCTGATTAGCTTTTTCAAAGGATGCAATCAGGTATGCATCTATCTCAGTGAGCACAGGGATAACTTTGAATAGAATGAAAGACACATTTGCCACGAGCAGCTTCCAGTGTGAAGGAGCCCAAGATGTTCTTATTTCACAAGTGTGTAAGAGAATAAGTGAAAATCTACACAATGAGATATGGGGCCCCTTCCTCTTGCAGTTCCTAGGATGTCAGCAGCCAGCACACATTAAAACCTCATTGATTTTTCACTACCATGCACATATCATAATAGATGGAGGATTTCTTTTTGGAAGAAAAGAGATGATCTATATACTGTCTGATAGCTCACAAGTTAAGCTAAAAAATATACAAACACTGCCCACACATTTGGAGATTGCAAATAACTATTTTTCAAATTTCCTCATCTTCAAACATAAGTAGAAAGTTTTTGCTTTCAGGAATGATGGCAGGACTAGTGAATGGGAAGATAGATCAATAGAAATCTGTCTTCAAATGAAAGCAAAGTAAAATTGATAGTCTGCACATTTGGGTGTAGCGTCTCTTGTACTTTCCTTAACTCTTCAGTTTTGACCCTAAATTTGCGAAATTAAGACCTTGTTGTTGACCAGATTTATCTGTTCACATCTTCGTAAGGTTTGCAATCATCTATTAATACCTAGTTAGTAATCTGTTAATACTTTTATAATACTAAAAGTTCTCACCTTACCCTTTATCCCAAACAACCAGACATTGTATTTCTGCCTACTATTTATCGTGCAATTCTGCAAGGCTTCTCTGGTGAATGTCCATGTTTCATATGGCTATTGTCATGAAAGAATGGCGGGCAGCATTTAGTTATTTTATTTCCTGAATGTCATAATAAAATTGTAATTGGCATTTTAGAGATAATGAACAATGCGATGGGTCCAGTCAGTCCCATAGCATTATTAAAAACATGATTTATCATATTTTGGTAAAAGCTGATCAATAATAAGGGCCCTTGTAGACTCCAGGAAAAATTAGAAATTCGTTAGTAGCTCAGATTTTGGAAGAGCAGACTCCTGTCATCTCTGGTATTATCTGAGCTGGGACATGATTTTTTTGTATTAACTCACTTTTTATTTGCTATTGACTATCTGTTCTCCCAAAATGTCTGCTTTCAAATAGGTTTCAGTTTTTAAGATGCAGATTCTCTTTCCAATATCCTATAAGCTTCTTCTTCCTCCTTCCAGCCTGTTCAGAATTCAAAGAGGAACTCTGAACAGACTTGCTTTTGAATTGGGTGGACTAAACTTACATGGAAAATCTGTGGACTAACTGCACAAATTCAAATGCCAATGCTAGTTCAATCTGCTGTGATTTGTAAGAAAGAGGTAAAAGGGTAGTAAGATCCAAAATACAGCAACCTATGATGTTTGATCAGCATGGACTGTAACTAATAGCCAAGCATACTGAAAAAAAAAAACATTTTTATTAGCAGATTTTATCAGCTAAAATATGTCTAGACATTTTATCAATTACTTGTTTTCTGAGGTTAATTCATTCTCCTTTGAGTTTCCAAATTCCTTTTCTTCAAACTCTTCTACAATTATTTTCTGTTGAGTTAAACAGCTCAGAAATCAAATATTCTAGATTCAAAATTTAAAAAATATTCATTTTTTTTGAGACAAGGTATTTGTTGTCCAGGCTGCAGTGCAGTAGTAGGATCTCAGCTCACTGCAACCTCGCCCTCCTGGGCTCAAGCGATTCTCCCACCTCAGCCACCAGAGTAGCTGGGAGTACAGGTGTGTGCCACCACATCTGGCTAATTTTTTTATTTTTATTTTTTGTGGAGATAGAGTATTGCCATGTTGCCCAGGCTGGTCTGGAACTCCTGGGCTCAAGTGAACCACATTCTTTGGACTCCCAAAGTGCTGGGATTACAAGTATGAGCCACGGAACCTGGCAACAACGACAACAACAACAACAACAACAACATAAACTTAGGTCTTGAGTTTGAGAAAATTATTTTGAAATTTCCCCTCTGAACTTTTTAATTTTTCCCCAAAATGGATGCTGTTGTACTGAGACTAATACTTTTTAGGAGACTTCACAGAGGTTCCTAAGGCTTCTATGTACTTATTCCAAGTTAAATTAATCCTTCATTTCTAAAACACATTCTTCTCCAGAACAGCAGAGGATGTCTGTGTACTAGGTGTTAACTGCTAGTTTAAAAGTGTTGGCATGTTCATATTTGCTCTGTTCATAGAGAAATTCCCAAGTGGTTCCCTTCAGTTGGGGAGTGATCATACCCCAACACCAGGTGACCAAGGCAACACCTCCTTTAGGATAACTTACACGTTTTTAGGACTATAAAATTAGGGTAGTGAAATTAAAATTATCTTCAACATTTGGTCGTGTCGGTGTTTTGGATTTTAGCTTGTCAAGTAGGTATATGTGATAGTTCATTGTCTTAATTTGTAATTCCCTACGACATAATTTCATTCACTTATTTCCTGTGTATATATATTGTCTTAGGTGAGATGTCTTTTGAGATCTTTTGACCACTGTTTTATGTTTTTTTTAAATTGGGTTGCTTACTTTTTATTATTATTGAGTCTTAAGGGTTCTTTGTAAATTCTGTTTAATAGTCATTTGTCAGATGTGTTTTGCAAATGTGTTCTTCCAGGTTCATCTTTTTATTAAGTGTTTTACAGAACAGGATTTTTAAATTTTGTGACATCCAATTTGTTAATTCTTTCTTTCATTGCTGTAAACATAATATTTGTAATAGATATTATTTATAGAGCAGTTTAAGTTCTAAGAAAAATTGGGCAGAAGGTATACAGACTTCCCATATACTCCCTGCCCCCCACATACATAGCCTTCTCCATTATCAACATCCTTTACCATGGTGGTACATTTGGTATAATTGATAAAGCTACATTGACACATTGTTATCACCTAGACTCTATATTTTATATCATGGTTCACTCTTGCTATTGTACATTCTATGGGTGTGGACAGATGTCTAATATATGTATCCACTATTATAATAGCACTGATTTTTTTCACTGCCCTGAAAAATGTCTATGCTATGCCTCTTCATCACTCCTTCCCTCCAACCCTAGAAACCACTGACCTTTTTACTGTCTCCACAGTTTTTTTCCAAAATATTGTATATTTGGAATCATACCTTCAGATTGACTTCTTTCACTTAGTCATTTAAGCACTGCATTTAAATTTTCTCCTTTTTTTTTTTTTTTTTTTTTTTTTTTTTTTTTTGAGATGGAGCCTCACACCGTCACCTGGCCTGGAGTGCAGTGGCACAATCTCAGCTCACAGCAACCTCTGCCTCCTGGGTTCATGTGATTCTCCTGACTCAACCTCCTGAGTAGCTGGGATTACAGGTGCCCACCACCACTCCCAGATAATTTTTTCTATTTTTAGTGGAGACAGGGTTCACCATGTTGGCCAGGCTGGTCTTGAACTCCTGACCTTTTGATTCACCTGCCTTGGCCTTCCAAAGTGCTGGGTTACAGGCCTGAAGCGCCGTGCCTGGCCCTTCCATGTCTTTTTATGGCTTAATAGCTCATTTCTTCTTAGCACTGAATACTATTTTATTGTGTGGATGTACTATAGTTTATTTATACATTCAACTACCAAAGACATTTTGGTTGCTTCCATATTTCACATTTCTGGATAAACTTACTGTAAACATATGAGTGCAGGTTTTTTTGTGACATAAGCTTTCAACTCATTTTGGTAAATACAAAGGAGAGTGATTGCTGCATTGCATGTAAGAGTATGTTTAGTTTTGTAAAAAACTTCCAAACTGTCTCACAAAGTAACTGTACTATTTTGCCTTGGTAGAGAATTCTCAAAACAAGAGTTCCTAATAATAAGAGTTCATAATAAGAGTTCCTGTTGTTCCTCCCCTGTGCCAGCATTTTGTCTTGTCAGTATTTTGGTTTGGCATCCTAAATAAGTGTATAGTAATCTCCTATTGTTTTAATTTGCAATTATTTAATGACATTATGATGTTCAAAATCTTTTCATTGTTATTCAATTCTTTTTTTCTCATTTTAAATTAGACTATTTGTTTTTGGAAATTGAGTTGAAGTTCCTTATATATTTTGAATATTAGTCTCTTAGATACATATTATGTGAATATTTTCTGCTTTTGTGCTATGTATTAGTCTGTTCTCATGCTGCTAATAAAGACATACCCAAGATTGAGTAATTTATTAAAAAATAAAGAGGTTTAATGGACTCACAGTTCTATGTGGCTGGGAAAGACTCACAATCATAGTGGAAGGTGAAAAGCATGTCTTACATGGTGGCAGACAAGGAAGAATGAAAACCAAGTGAAAGTTGTTTCCCTTTATAAAACCACCAGATATTATGGGACTTATTCACTACCAAGAGAACACAATGAGGGAAACTGCCCCCGTGATTCAATTATCTTTCACCAAGTCCCTCCCACAACACATAGGAATTACTGGAGCTACAATTCAAGATGAGATTTGGGTGGCGACACAGCCAAATCATATCATGCTGGTTATCTCTTACTGCGTTGATTGATTCCTTTATTGTGTAGAAGCTTTTAGTTTGGTGTCATCCCACTTGTCTTATTTGTCTTTGGTTGCTTGTGCTTTTGTTGTTGTACCTATGAAATCATTTCCAAGACCAATGTGATGAATCTTTTCCTGTTTTTTTTTCTACTATAAGTTTTACAGTTCTAGTTCTTTGTCTTTAAATCTCTAATTAAATTTGAATTGATTTTTAAACTATGCTGTACAATGAGTCTGTTTTTGTCATTTGGCTTATGGATATTCAGTTTTCCCAGTATCATTGTTTAAATGACTCTCTTTTCCTTAGGGTGTATTTTTGTAATTCTTGTTGAAGATGAGTTGACCATATCTGCCTGGATTTATTTGCAGAATCTCTATTCTGTTCCATTGAACTATATGTCTGGATTTATGCTAGGGTCATACTACTAAAATTAGTATAGTTTTGTAAAATATTTTGAAGTCAAGAAGTGTGGTATCTGCAGCTTTGTTCTTTCTAAAAAGATTACTCTCATTATTCTGGGTTATTATGAGGTCTGCATGGATTTCAGAATATTTTCCTTTGTTTCTGTATAAAAAGCCACTGAAATTTTGATAGAGATTGAATTGAATCTGTTGATCCCTTTGTTGCATGAACTGTTAACACTGCCAGGTCTTCCAGTCTATGAACAAAGTGTACCTTTTCATTTATTTGTGTCTTCTTTGATTTTGTTCATCAATAATTTGTAGTTTTAAAGCACAAGTCTTTCATCTCCTTGGTTAAGTTTATATCTGCAAATTTTATTCTTGGCTGAGCATGGTGGTGCATTCCTGTAATCCTAGCACTATGGGAGATGGAAGCAGGATGATCCTTTAACCTCGGGAGTTTGAGGCAAGCCTGGGCAATATAGTGAGATCTTGTCTCCACACACAAAAAATAATAATTAAGAATTTAAAAAAATAGCTGGGTAGGTGGTGCATGCATGTAGTCTCAGCTATTTGGGATGCTGAGGCTGGAGGATGGGTTGAATCCAGGAGATTGAGGCTGCAGCGAGCCATGATTGCACCACTGCACTCTAACCCTAGGCAACAGAGTGAGACCCTGTCTTACAAAAATAATAATAAAAATAAAATAAAATAAAATAATTTTATTATTTTTGATGCTATACTAAATGGGATTGTTTTCTTAATATCTTTTCCAGTGATTTTGTCATTAGTGTACAGAAATTCAACTAAATTTTGTATATTGACTTGTGTTCAGCAACTTTACGGTATTTTTTGAGGTCTAGCATGTTTGTATTTGTTTTTGTATTTTGTTATGTCATCTTTAAACAGGCATAATTGTGCTTCTCTTTTCCCATTTGGATGTCTTTTATTTCTTTATCTTGCCTAATTGATCTGGCTAATACTTTCAGTACTAATTTAAATATAAAAATAAATTTTGAGAATGGACATCCTTGTCTTGTTTCAGTGGACCTGTTCATTTTTAAACATGAGGTGCTATTATTTTATGTCAGACTCTCTCCCTTCAGAACACTAAATAATGGATTTTTAAAATTATTTATTTTTATTTTTTTCAATATTCAATATTATCCAAATTATTTATTTTTATTTTTATTTTTTGAGACAGGACTGGAGTCCAGGTTGAAGTCTAGTGATGCTATCATAGCTCACTGCAGCCTCGAACTCCTGGACTCAGTGATACTTCTGCCTTATCCTGCAGAGTAGCTGGGACTATAGGTATGAGTCACCACACCTGGCTAACAATTTCTTTATGTATTTAGATGCTCTGCTGTTCAATTGGGTGCAGTCATAGTTAATTGTTATGTCTCTTGGTGAATTTATCCTTTTATCATTATATTAATAGAATTATCTTCTTTGTCTCTTTTCACAGTTTTTGGCTAAAGGCTTATTTTGAGATATAAATATAGCCACCTCTGCTTTCTTTTGGTTTCCATTTGCATGGAATATTTTCTTCCATCCCTTCACTTTTAATTTATGTGTGTTCTTACTAGTAAAATGAGTCTCTTATAGGCAGCATATTGTTGTATATTGTTTTTTAATCCAATCAGTTGCTGTAAATGTTTTTATTGGAGAATATAACTCATTTATATTTAAGGTAACTATCAATAGGTAAGAACTTACTACTGCCATTTACAATTTGTGTTCTGATTTTTTTACTTTTTTCATTTTTTTCAGATCTTTTGATTCTTCCTGTCTTGTCTTCTTTTGTAGTTTGAAGGTTTTATGTGGTGGTGTGCTTTGAGTCCTTTTCATGTTAGGTGCAAATACTACAGGTTTTTGCTTCATGGTAAACATGGAGCTTACATAAAATATCTTAATCTTATAACAGTATACTTTGAGCTGATAACAACTTTCCTTTCATTGCATAGAAAAACTCTATACTTTCATCCCATTCACTTTTTAGGATTTTGATGTCAACATTTATATTTGTTTTTGTAATTTTTATGCCTTAACAATTTATTGTAGCTACAGTTGTTTTCAATAGTTTTGTCTTTTAAAACTTACGTAGTGATACAACTTTTTTTACACACTAACCTTACAGTATTAGAGAACTCTGAGTATGAATTACTTATGCCGTTGACATATTTTTAGTTTCATATGTGTCATGTCATAAATTTTAGACTTTTGGTAATTCCTCTGAAGACCTCCTGGTGATGAACTCCCTTAACTTTTGTTTGTCTGGGAACGTTTTTATTTCTCCTTTTTTTCTGAAGAACAGATTTGCCAGGTAAAGTATTCTTAGTTGACTGTTTGTTTGTTTGTTTGTTTTCAGCACGTTGGATATGTAACCCCAATTTCTTCTTGCCTAAAGAGTTTGTGCTGAAAAATCTTCTGAAAGCTGTATTTGGGCTTCTTTCAGTGTGCATTTCTTTTTATACTTTAAGTTTTAGGGTACATGTGCACAATGTGCAGGTTATTTACATATGTATACATGTGCCATGGTGGTGTGCTGCACCCAGTAACTTGTCATTTAACATTAGATATATTTCCTAATGCTATCCCTCTCCCCTCCCCCCACCCCACAACAGGCCCTGGTGTGTGATGTTCCCCTTCCTGTGTCCATGTGTTCTCATTGTTCAATTCCCACCTATGAGCGACAACAGGCGGTGTTTGGTTTTTTGTCCTTGCGATAGTTTGCTGAGAATGATTGTTTCCAGCTTCATCTATTTCTCTACAAAGGACATGAACTCATCATTTTTTATGGCTGCATAGTATTCTATGGTGTATATGTGCCACATTTTCTTAATCCAGTCTATCATTGTTGGACACTTGGCTTGGTTCCAAGTCTTTGTTATTGTGAATAGTGCTGCAATAAACATAGGTGTGCATGTGTCTTTATAGCAGCATGATTTATAATCCTTTGGATATATATCCAGTAATGGGATGGCTGGGTCAAATGGTATTTCTAGTTCTAGATCCCTGAGGAATCGCCACACTGACTTCCACAATGGTTGAACTAGTTTACAGTCCCACCAACAGTGTAAAAGATTTCCTAATTCTCCACATCCTCTCCAGCACCTGTTGTTCCCTGACTTTTTAATGATTACCATTCTAAATGGTGTGAGATGGTATCTCATTGTGGTTTTGATTTGCATTTCTCTGATGGCCAGTGATGATGAGCACTTTTTCATGTGTCTTTTGGCTGCATAAATATCTTCTTTTGAGAAGTATCTGTTCATATCTTTGCCCACTTGTTGATGGGGTTTTGTTTTTTTCTTGTAAATTTGTTTGAGTTCATTGTAGATTCTGGATATTAGCCCTTTGTCAGATGAGTAGGTTGCGAAAATTTTCTCCCATTCTGTTGGTTGCCTGTGTACTCTGATGGTAGTATCTTTTGCTGTGCAGAAGCTCTTGAGTTTAATTAAATTCCATTTGTCAATTTTGGCTTTTGTTGCCATTGCTTTTGTTGTTTTAGACATGAAGAGCTTGTCCATGCCTATGTACTGAATGATATTGCCTAGGTTTCCTCTAGGGTTTTTATGTTTTTAGGTCTAACATTTAAGTCTTTAATCCATCTTGAATTAATTTTTGTATACGGTGTAAGGAAGAGATCTAGTTTCAGCTTTCTACATATGGCTAGCCAGTTTTCCCAGCACCATTTATTAAATAGGGAATCCTTTCCCCATTTCTTGCTTTTGTCAGGTTTGTCCAAGATCAGATGGTTGTAGATATGCAGCATTATTTCTGAGGGCTCTGTTCTGTTTCATTGATATATATCTCTGTTTCGGTACCAGTACCATGCTGTTTTGGTTACAGTAGCCTTGTATTATAGTTTGAAGTCAGGTAGCATGGGGCCTCCAGCTTTGTTCTTTTGGCTTCAGATTGACTTGGCAATGTGGGCTAGTTTTTGGTTACATATGAACTTTAAAGTAGTTTTTTCCAGTTCTGTGAAGAAAGTCATTGGTAGCTTGACGGGGATGGCATTTAATCTATAAATTACCTTGGGCAGTATGGCCATTTTCACGATATTGATTCTTCCTACCTATGAGCATAGAATGCTCTTCCCTTTGCTTGTATCTTCTTTTATTTCATTAAGCAGTGGTTTGTAGGTCTCCTTGAAGAGGTCCTTCACATCCCTTGTAAGTTGGATCCCTAGGTATTTTATTCTCTTTGAAGCAATTGTGAATGGGAGTTCACTCATGATTTGGCTCTCTGTTTGTCTGTTATTGGTGTATAAGAATGTTTGTGATTTTTACACATTGATTTTGTATCCTGACACTTTGCTCAAGTTGCCTATCAGCTGAAGGAGATTTTGGGCTGAGATGATGGTGTTTTCTGGATATACAATCATGTCATCTGCAAACAAGGACAATTTGACTTCCTCTTTTCCTAATTGAATACCCTTTATTTCCTTCTCCTGCCTGATTGCCCTGGCCAGAACTTCCAACACTATGTTCAATAGGAGTTGTGAGAGAGGGCATCCCTGTCTTGTGCCAGTTTTCAAAGGGAATGCTTCCAGTTTTTGCCCATTCAGTATGATATTGGCTGTGGGTTTGTCATAGATAGCTCTTATTATTTTGAGATATGTCCCATCAATACCTAATTTATTGACAGTTTTTAGCATGAAGCATTGTTGAATTTTGTCAAAGGCCTTTTCTGCATCTATTGAGATAATCATGTGGTTTTTGTCTTTGGTTCTGTTTATATGCTGGATTAGGTTTATTGATTTGTGTCTGTTGAACGGGCCTTGCATCCTAGGGATGAAGCCCACTTGATCATGGTGGATAAGCTTTTTGATGTGCTGCTGGATTTTGTTTGCCAGTAGTTTATTGAGTATTTCTGCATCGATGTTCATCAGGGATATTGGTCTAAAATTCTCTTTTTTTGTTGTATCTCTGCCAGGCTTTGGTATCAGCAGTATGCTGGCCTCACAAAATGAGTTAGGGAGGATTCCCTCTTTTTCTATTGATTGGAATAGCTTCAGAAGGAATGGTACCAGCTCCTCCTTGTACCACTGGTAGAATTCGGCTGTGAATCCATCTTGTCCTGGACTTTTTTTGGTTGGTAGGCTATTAATTATTGCTGCAATTTCAGAGCCTGTTATTGGTCTATCCTAGCCAGTTGCGGGATAGAATCTGGTGTGAAGTTTGCTAAGCCTGTTGGAAAAGCGGAGTACTAGGGTGAGAGTAACCCAATTTTCCAGGTGCCATCTGTCACCTCTTTCTTTGCCTAGGAAAGGGAATTTCCAGACCCCTTGTGCTTCCCAGGTGAGGCGATGCTTCACCCTGCTTCGGCTCATGCTCAGTGTGCTGCACCCACTGTCCTGCACCCACTTTCCAACATTCCCCAGTGAGATGAACCCAGTACCTCAGTTGGAAATGCAGAAATCACACATCTTCTGCATCGCTCATGCTTGGAGCTGTAGACTGGAGCTGTTCCTATTCGGCCATCTTGGCTCCACCCCCCGTGAATGTTTTTTTAATTCTTGCTGTCTTCAGTATTCTTTGTCTTTGATAATTTGATGATGATTGTCTTGGTGAATTCCTCTTTCAGTTGAATTTGATTGGTGACAACTAACCTTCCTGCACGTGGATGATGTTGGCTTTCCCCAGATTTACAAAGTTTTATCTATTATTTTCTTAAATACGTTTTCTGGGTCTTTTGCTGTCTCTGCTTCATAAACTTTTTAAAGTATAAATAATAGTTTGTCAGATGATGTCCCATGATTCCTGTAGTCCTTCTTTATTTTTTTCATTCATTTTTTATTTTTGCTCTTCTAACTGGATAGTTTCAGATGTCTTATCTTTGAGTTCACTGATTTTTTTCTTTTTTTTCAAGACTGCTTTTGTAGCTTTCCATTGAATTTTTTTAATGTAGTTATTCTTTATCTCTAGGATTTTGATTTTCTTTTAAAATTGTTTCTATTTCTTTGTAAAATCTTTCATTTTGTTCATTGTTTTCCAAATTTTATTTAATTTTGTATTTATATTTTCTTAAAGTTCTCTGAACCTCTTTAAAAGGATTATTTTGAATTCTTTTGTCAGTTGTTTCACAGATCTGCACTTCTTCTGAGTCTATTATTGGAACTTTATTAGATCTTTTCATGATGTTATGTTTACTTGACTTTTCATAATCTTTGTGTTCTTAGATAGATACCAGTGCATTTGAGAAGATAACCTCCTCTTCTACCTTTGGTGGTGACAAACCTTTATTATTTGTCTATTCTGGGTTCTGGATGAGCTGGCTGGTAGCAACTCCAGACAGGCAGACCATGGTGTTGGGTTATCTAGTTGTGCTGGATAATGTTTTGTCTTCTGAGGTTAAATGATACTGATGGCTATGCTTCATGGACTGATGAGATCACTCTGACACAAAATGGAGCTGCTGGTTGGCAATACAAACATCTCTGATTAGGCAGGGTGACAGGATGTCTCTCCTAGCTGCACCATTGTTGTTTGGAATCTGCAGTTTTGCAGAGCTGTGTGCTGGAATCTGAAACAGGGTGAGGTCTATGGGCTTGCTGCTAGGCCACACAGGTATGGCAGGGCCTAAGACTACGCTTGATATGTTTTTACTTGGGCTTGCCTCCCAGCCTAGGGTAGTCTTAAGCAGAGTACTGAGGCTTGGTCCACTTATGATGCAGCTGCTGGGGTTTAATGGGGGCAGACGCTCCCTCCATGGATAACACTGACTTGCAGTTGGCTCCTGGGATGAGGAAGATGTGAAAATGTGGCTTTCCTCAGTTCTCTGGTCCAAAAGGGTTTCTCAGACTCACTCTCAAGTTCTGGAATGCTCATTATAGTATTTTTTTGCCTCTGGTTAGTTGCTAGTTGAATTTCTGTCAGCATCAGGGGAGTGAAGCTGGAGAACTCCTATTCTGCCATGCTGCTAACATTACTTTCCATGATCAACCTCTTTGTCTTTTCATTCTAATATTTTATTTACAATGTGTCTTTATAATGATATTTTTAGGTTCAACCTATTTGGAAAACTTTAAGCTTCTTCAATGTCAATTTTCATTTCCCTTTCTATGCAATGTATAAGAGTTCCTGTTGTCCCACATCCTTGTCAACATTTGGTGTTGTTATTATTTTGAATTCTGGTCATTATAATAGGGGTGTAGTTGTATCTCATTGTTTTAATTCACAATTCCTTAATAACACATAGTGTTAAGCATATTTTTATATGCTTATCTACCCATATATGTTCCTCTCTAATTTTACTTTGTTTTTACAACACTGCTTCTCAATGGTGTCTTCTAAAAGTGTGTGTATAACCATGGTAGAAAATAGATGGGAAGACAAGGGAAAAGGAGGTTAAAGAGGAAAGAAAATTTCATTAAGTATTCAGTAGTCCAATCAATTAACCAAAAATTGTTCTTGTGGGACCTCAATATAAATAGATTTTCAATCATCTGTCTCTTGCACCTTGTGTCAGCATTCAGGTGAAATGAAGAATAGAGAAGGAATCAGAAGAGTGAAAAGTAGAATACACTATTCCAGCTTATGTGCTAATAACTATATGTAAATGATAATCTAGAGTTTGTTCACCTCTTATCTCTCCTATTTTAAACCTCAGTTACATGCCAGAAACCAATTTAAATTGATATCCCTTTGCCCTACTTTATGATTACCCTCTTATATGTTCATATCAGAAGGATACTCCTCTCTTTCCTTTACATACGGACTATTTAAAGTTGAAGATGCAAATGTGCAGATACCGGAGCATGTTCCATAAAGACTCCCTCCTTTTATTTTAAAGTGATACCAATATGCTTAAAATTCTGTTATGTTTTTATTTAATCCTATTAAAACAAAACTTGACGGTATTATTTTCAGTTAAATTTTATTTCAAATTATAAATGACATTCTTTGAAAATAAAAGAAAAACGTTAATAAATATGGATGGTTTATAGTAATAAAAACATAGATTTAAATTAATTTTTTGAAAAATCTATTTTATTGTGAAAACGGTTCATATTAAATTTGTTATTTTTAAGCTCTTTATGAATATCATTTTCTTTAATTCTGATGACAAGCCAATTAAATATAAACTATTTTAACTTTTGATTTACAGATAAAAATTAGGCCTAAGATTTCATATATTTTTCTTAAAGTTACAAGGCTTTAAATTGGTAAAGCCAGGATTTGGATTTATGTAGTGTGACTCTAGAGTGCTTACTACTTTAATCATTATATTCCACCACCCATCTTAAAGTTAAAATAAGTGCAATTCATAATCACTGCATCAACTTCCTTATACTTTTTATATTTTTGGCCATTTGAAAAGATGTTTGAATTAAGATTTTTTTTTACCAACATAGGAGACATATAGAACTGAGTTAAAACCTTAATGCTGTTACTTCTCAGCAAGACAATCTCAAGGGACTAATTTGTTCAGTTCTCTCACCTTTAGATTTTTCACCTTGAAATTTAATTTTTCAATAGAAATACCAAACTTTGTATTATTTTAGTAGACACAAGTATAATAAAAACAAAGAATTTGGACACATTTAAACGCTACTTGTTCCTGAAATGAAGAGATAATCAGAATTCATACTTTTTCTTTTAGGTCAATCACTTTTGAGGGAGGATGGTCACTCCAAAGTTACCCATTGAATGGATATGGTGTTGCAGAACATTTAAAATATTTTATCTTTATTTTCCATTTCGATTTAACTAATAGTACTTCTACAATACACAAAACATTTCAATATTCTTCCCCATATAGCTTCCTCTTATTATATTTTCCAATCTTGATTTATTTATTTATATTTTAGTTTATTCGTTTTCTTTTTTTTCCTGTGCCTGTGCTTACCCATATACCTTTTTCCTAACTTTTAATGTTCAATTATTTATCTGCAATGCAAATCAACATAAAAGATTTTATATGGTATGTGTGTGCATATGTGTGTGTGTGTGTGTGTGTATGTACATTTGTTGTTGTAGTGAAGGATATTAGATAAGTTAATAATGGAATCATTACATTTCCATTGTCTATTAAATATATGGCCTTTCTCGTGTATGACATGTCAACTTTGGGACACTAGTGTGAACACTGGAAACATTACATCACAGAAAACAAAATGAAGTGAGCACATTAAAAAACATGTTATTTAATTGAATTTATTTTAAATTTATATTTGACAGGAGAAAATAATTTCAATTGGTAATATTTTTCATTAAATAATGATAAATAAGGTTAAAAATGAAATTGAATCTGTCAACAGTTATTAAAGATGTGGTACACTTATTACACTGAAACAGATGAATATTAAAAGTCCATAATATGAATATCTAAAGTGCCGCTTTTTATCTGCTGTCCTCACTCTGGGCATGAAAATTCCATTGCCAATTCTAACTTGTGATTCTATGCAGCCCCAATTATTAGGACAGAATAAATAGAGATGTAACTTCCTATAGCAGTAGTGGGTTCCCTGTTTAGGGAGAACCCACTAGAGACAAGTGTCCTGAGTGTTTTCTGAATTCCTGTGATAATTTTATTTATTTCATTGACATCACCCAACTTTAAACACAATAGATCATACCATTTTTGGTTTCAACCATGTTCTACCCTTCTGCACTTCAGGCTCAGGAAATATGTTGTATCTCCAGTATATTAGCCTCTGACTCAAAAATACAGAACTTTTTAAATACAAAGTAGTGATAAAATGTAAATGGGCATCTTGATATACTGAGTTAGTTCCTTTTCCCTAGAAGTGTTCAGGAGGAAGCTTGATACCTTATTGCAAATGCATTAGGGAAGGAATTTGACATTTCTTTGTTGGTGCTCACAAATTTGAACACTTGTGATTGTATAAATGTCTTTCTTTTTATTAAACCAGAGTGTAGACAGAGTTGTGATGTGTAGTTCACAACCAGCAATGGCAGAATTGGGCTCTTAGGAAAAGGAAGAGCCAAATTGAAGATTTCAGGGAGTTTATCAGTCTGTGGTCAAAAGCACAGGAAAGAAGTAAGAAAATCAGATGCATTAGATTAGAGTGCATAGAGATAGTCAGGCTTACACTTTAGAAAATGCATGGCTGGAAAGGAAGATAATCTGAAAAGAAAAGACTACTGGTAGGTAATCACCTGAATTAATCTATATTCTACCTAGTTCTGGCACAAAAGACAATGTCTTGGTAGTCACAACTCCTGTTAA
The DNA here is from genome assembly GCF_000001405.40 of Homo sapiens. NCBI lineage: Eukaryota > Metazoa > Chordata > Mammalia > Primates > Hominidae > Homo > Homo sapiens. Next base: position 55,603,301 of record NC_000011.10, read on the forward strand.
CTAGAAAACATAGGAACCCACAAACTTAGATACGATGATATATTATTCCCACAGCATTCAGGTACTTTCCTATTTGCTGTCTATACTTACTCTGTTAAATCATGATTTGACTGAAAAAGTAATCAGGTCAGGCCCTCAATTTATCCTTTGTTTTCTGAAATAATTTTGCCATGCCATAACTTTCTCATGGCATTTTTCACTTCTGCATTCCTCAGTGTGTAGATGAGTGGATTGAGAAAGGGTGTTCCAATAGTATAAAATACTGCCACCATCTTGTCCATGGGGAAAGTGGTCGGGGGGCGTGTATATATGAATATACATGGGCCAAAGAATAAGATGACTACAATTATGTGAGACGTGCAAGCGGAGAGAGCCTTTTTCTTCCCTTTGGCACTGTGGTTTCTCAGTGAATGCAAGATGACAATATATGAAATTATCAAAATCATGAAACTACTTGAGCAAATTGCCCCACTGTTAGACACCAACAGCAGGTTGATCATGTAAGTGTCCATGCAGGCAAGTTTCAACAAGGGCTGCAAATCACAGCAATAATGATCAATCAAATAGGGTCCACAGAAAGGCAATCTTAAGGCCAGGATAATCTGAGCTGTAGAGTGTATTAAAGACCCTATCCAGGCAAGAACAATCAGGATGATGCAGACCTGCTGGCTCATGATGGTTGGGTAACGCAAGGGCTTACAGATGGCCACATAGCGATCAACAGCCATGAGAATGAGGACAAAGATCTCCATGCAGCCAAATAAATGTAGTGCAAAGACTTGTGTCATGCACTCATTGTAGGTTATAATTTTCTTTTCAGAGAGAGCATCCACAATTAATCTAGGGGCTGTGGAAGTTGAAAAGCAAGAATCTGCAAAGGACAAATAAAATAGAAAGAAGTACATGGGGCTTCCTAGTGTCCGGCTGGACTTGATGGTCACAATAATGAGCATATTCCCCACCACAGTTCCCATATAGAAAATTAAGAAGATTACAAACACTATTTTCTGCCTCAAGGGATCCTGTGTTAATCCTAACAGTATGAATTCAGGCACACTGTTATTTTGCTGCATTGTTTCAGTTGATGTGAAGAAACCACAGATTAGAACTAGTTAATCTGCAAAAGAAAAAAAGAAATAGATTCTAAATTTAGAGGTCAAATACATATTCTTGCAATGAAATTGCAACTTTCCAATGGCTTATTATTGACAATTCTTTGTATTTTTTTCTGAGTGAAATGGAATTCATAGTAACTATTCAATATATTTACCAAAATATTATTATTATTATTTTTGAAACAGAATGTCGCTCTGTCCTCTAGGCTGGACTGCAGTGGCATGACAAAATTACACATGAAAATAATACAATTAGAAATAGAAAAATAACTTAAAAGCAAATGATTTTTCAAACAAAGTAAACATTAATTTAGGGGTTTGGTATGAGTAGGTGTCTTCTGAGCTGAATGTGTTCCTTTAGCTTATAGCCAAGAATAATAAATATTTTGTACTGTGTTGCGGTAACAGATGAAAATGTACATGACTTACTACAATAGGCTTTCACATTATTTGAACCTGACAGTACCATTATAATATATTTACTTCCTAAATATACAGATCATTCTAATGATGTTGTTTAAATACTTGAGAATACCTTCCTTAATAAAATTTACATGTATGTGGGTGTGTGTGCACACACACACACATACACAGAGAAAGAGACAATAAACATAAAATTTTTGCAATGAGCAAAAAGTCAATCATTACAGTCCAACATGAGAATTATTTTAACCTCTTGCCTTGACTATCTTTATTTCCTTTTAATTTACCTCTGAAAATTTTCTAATTATTTTCAGTTCCAAATTCATCCTTTATTATTCAACTTTGTACTGCTTTGTTATACTGTGTTGTCCAAAGTTAAATTCGTCCATCTTTCCTTATTTTTCTGGGTTCTTCATAAAGTTTTCTTAAGAGACAAGTAGACACTGAGGCTAAAATGAGGAAAAAAGTGGAAGAATAATTGACACATAAATCAGGACATTCTTTCAAATTTCAGGTTTGCAGGTAAGCATCAGTGATTTAGAAAATGAGATCTATGCGCTCCAAGTCAGGACTGAAACTTTCAATAGAATTTTTAGTTTGTATGTTCTTATGAATCCCATATCCTGACTTCAAGAAAGAGAAGTTAAATATATAATGGGAATTAATATTTATTTGCATATTTCAAATATTGAACAAATTTTTCCATATACTTTTTCACATATATATTCCAAATAGCAACACAGTAAAAAATTAAAAGGGAAGTGTCAATATGATAAAATACATTTACAACACATTTGCCAGACAAAAGCATAGCTTTTTAAAATGTAAATTGATTTCACAGATAAGTTTCTGAAAAATATGACACAAATGAACATTGGAAAAATAACCCATCTTAAAAGAGACTGTTCTCCTTATTATAAAGATTATGCCTCTGGAAAGATGCTCAATTTCTTTCATAGTTAAATACATTCAAGTTAAAATTCCAGTTAGATAATTTTCACCTATCAGGTTAATAAAGTAATCCTTTTGATAAATGTCTTAACAAATAGTCTTGACAAAGGTGTGGGAAACCGTCAACCCTACAAACTTTTGGTGGGAATGTAAGTGGGTGCAACCTTCTAGAAAGTGACTTCAGTATCTATTATATGACAACCGGATATAGATATTGATCCAGTTATTCCGTTTCCTATAGACGCACTCATTCACAGAAACAAGGACAATCATTTTGCCTTTTTAGATGGTAGCAAGAGATAGGAAACAACTTTAGTGCCCATCAGAAGGGACATTAATGAATCAAGGATGATATTTTTACGCAAACATTAATAAGAATGAAGCAGATACAGATAGCTGTGTGTTTATATGCACACGCACGCACACACACACACACACAAAATTGTCCCTGACATATGGTGTAAATTGAAATGTAAGAGATTAATATTGCATGCTTAGAATTGTAACATTTTCCTTAACATCAGTACAATATATACTACACACACCTGCATATTTCTATACATGAATTATAGTAGAAGAGTATGAAAAAACTATAATGACTCTGAGCGGGGAAATTGCATTCTTGGCATTAGACATGGGAGAAATAACTACATTAAAAAATATTCACTTTGGTAGTATTTGACAATGTGTCATAATAATGCTACATCGAAAATAATGTTTTAAAAGCTTTACCTTGGGAGATGGGTTGTTATTCACCTTGTGATGGCATATCCCTGAGCCATCACAACTGTCTTGTTGTAGACAGGAATTCTAGTGGTATTCTTAGGGCTACATTAAGCCTCACAAATTTGAGTAAGTCAGATATAGCAGTAGTGTTGAAACTCAGGGCTCTGTAAATACAACATATGCAGACACACTGTCACTAACTGGAGATTCACTTCCTGTATTGAAGGTTTGTGAAAGCTCTTTAGCAAACAGAAATAAAAAATTGTATTTGTCTTCTCTGAATTAAGTATTATAAAAAGACACACACACATGCATGTATCTCCAGAATAGACATGAATAAGCAGGAATAAATAGATACAAATAGACATCATTACACATTTTTATAGTACTATACATTAGAATGAAGCAACATAAGAAAGGGTATTTTTATCTGTTCACTGCTGAATTACAGCACTTATAAAAAAGTAGGTTTTTGATATCTGTTGAATGAATCAAAGAATTAAGAGAAATTCTTATAGATCCAAATCATTAATGTTTTATACTATTTTATATTTAGCTGCATTAAGGAGAAGGAAGCCAGCATCCTACCGTGGGCGACATCATCACCTTCATGGAGCACTTCCTGGAACACCCCAATAGATTTTATTTCTGTTTGTTTATTATTTATTTTATTACTGCTCCTTGCAGAGCAGAGCTACCCTTAGGCAGTTTGCCCAGAGTAGGCTGTTTCTGTTTAATTATCTCCTACCCACTTCTACCAACAGCTCTTACCTGGTAGTGCCCATTTCCATCAAGAAATTCTGTGCATGATTTTTATTTCCATCTTTTCACTTTAGATTGTAAAGCACTTCTAGAAAAGTCCTTGAATTTCCCCACCTCCCACCAGTGTCTTGTATATGTTAGTTCCTGGCTGTTGTATTGATCAGATCCACCTTCTCTGAATGTTAGATACGACTAAGTTATTCTCCTATACAGACCTTACCAGCTTTGATAAGAGAGTATGCTATATTAGGATGTTCAATTGCCCTCTTTTCTTCCCAATATAATTTGGAGGCTACTTATTCAAATGAGAATTTTAAAAGTGCTTATAAATTAATATATAACTATTCTGATACGAGGCTCTCTTTGGTCTCACAAAGAAGTTTACATCCCCATCTTAATGGTAGAAGGCAAACTAAATTGGTTCCAGATTCATCCAACACTTTCTGAAATCTACCCTCACGCAGGATTTTTGACTGGGAAAATTTTCTCTTTTGCCTTCCCAGGAGAAGTGCTTAATATGAATTATGCAAAATTTAAGAGTCTGGGGAATGTCATCCCCTCAAGTGTCCCTTTTGGAACATGAGCCAGATGTGATAGATAACTTAATCTTCAATTTGTCTTGGATTATGGAAAAAAGAGGTAGCCCACTCTTGCAATTAGAGGTGTTAATTTGAGTGATAAATGACGTTTTTGACTAGAATTAAAAATGGTCTTCTATCAACCAAATCTTTGTTTCTCATACCATTCTCCAATAAAGTGATCAAGGCTTCTTGAAGAAATGTTTGATTCTAGATTTTTAACTGAGAGTGTACAAAATAAATGAGCGTTTCACAGCGGTGGAAATACAGAAGTGCTAAAACATGCACACAAACGGTGATGGGGACACAGGAGTCAACTGAAACAGCCTACAACGGCCAAAGCTGTAAAAATTTTTAGCAACAAAATAAATAACACAGTTTTGAAATATAACCGTAATTGTAAAATATATACCGAAAAGTTCATCTTTATAAATAATTGAATACATAGTTAAATAAAATAGAATTAGAGGTTAACTACCTTTCATTTATTTTTTAGTTGATATGTAATAATTATATTTATTGGATATGAAGTGATATTTCCATATTTCTTTACAATGTTTAGTAATAAAATCAGGGTAATTAGTATGTCCATCACCTCAGATATTTATTTTATTTTTAATTTTTAAAATTTTAATTTTTACTTATTTTTATTTTTGTGGGTACATAGTAGGTATGTTATATGGTTTGTCTGTGTTCTCACCTAAATCTCATCTTCCATTGTAGCTCCCATAATCCCCATGTGTCGTGGGAGGGACCCAGTGAGAGGTAATTGAATCATGCAGGTGGGTTTTTCCTGTGCTGTTCTCATAGTAGTGAATAAGTCTCACAAGATCTTATGGTTTTATAAAGGGCAGTTTCCCTGCACAAGCTCTCTCTTACCTGCCACCATGTAAGACATTCTGTTGCTACTGCCTCCCCTTCCACCATGACTGTGAGGTCTCACCAGCCATGTGGAATTGTGAGTCCATTAAACTTCTTTTTCTTCAATAAACTACCTAGTCTTGGGTATGTCTTTATTAGCAGTGTGAGAATGGACTAACACTATATATATATATATATATATATATATATATATATATGGAGTATATGAGACATTTTGATGCAAGCATGCAATGTGAAATAAGCACATAAGGGAAAATGGGATATTCATCCCCTCAAGTATTTGTTCTTTGAGATGCAAATAATCCAGTTATACTCTTTAAGTTATTTTGAAATATACAATTAAATTATTATTGACTATAATCAACCTGTTGTGCTATCAAATAGTAAGTCTTATTCATTATAACTCTTTTTTTGTACCCAATGGCCTTCCTCACCTCCAGTTTCTGGTAATTGTCCTTCTACCCAAATGTCCATGAGTTCAATTCTTTTGACTTTTAGATCCCACAAATAAGTGAGAACATGTGGTGTTTGTCTTTCTGTGTCTGGCTTATTTCACTTAACATAATGATCTCCCATTCCATTCATGTTGTTGCAAATGACTGGATCTCATTTATTTTTATGGCTGAATAGTATATACACCACATTTTCTTTATCTATTCATGTGTTGATGGACATTTCAGTTGCTTTCAAATCTTAACTGTTGGAAACAGTGCCACAACAAACATAGGAGTCCAGATACTTCTTTGATACACTAATTTCCTTTCTTTGGGGTATATGCCCAGCAGTAGGATTTCTGGTTCACATATTAGCTCAATTTTTAGTTTTTGAATAACTCTAAACTTTTTCATGTGGTTGTACTAATGTACATTCACATCTACAGCATACAAGGTTTCCCTTTTCTCCACATCCTCACCAGCATTTGTTATTGCCTGTCTTCTGTATATAAGCCATTCTAACTTGGGTGAGATGATGATATCTCATTGTAGTTTTGATTTGCATTTTTCTGATGATCAGTGATGTTGGGCATTTTTGTTTTTTTGAGATGGAGTTTCACTCTTGTTGCCCAGGCTGGAGTCCAATGGTGCAATCTTGGCTCACTGCAACCTCCACGTCATGGGTTCAAGTGATTCTACCATTAAAGTGAAAATAAGGTAATTATAAGGGCAACTTTCACTTAATATAAAACTTCTGAATATTCCACTGATTTTGTACTTTACAATTTTACTACTTCCTTTACTCATTTATGATTTGAACTATAAGACAAATTGAGAAAATATGTTCAGCAAAACATGTTTTTGTTTTGTTTTCATTTTCTGCTTATTATCCCCTAAGCAGAATCATAAAATATGTGGTTTTTTTTTTGTTTTTTTTTTTTTTTTGAGACGGAGTTTCGCTCTGTCGCCCAGGCTGGAGTGCAGTGGCGTGATCTCGACTCACTGCAAGCTCCGCCTCCCGGGTTCACGCCATTCTCCTGCCTCAGCCTCCCGTGTAGCTGGGACTACAGGTGCGCGCCACCATGCCCGGCTAATTTTTGTATTTTTAGCAGAGACGGGGTTTCACCGTGTTAGCCAGGATGGTCTCGATCTCCTGACCTTGTGATCCGCCCATCTCGGCCTCCTAAAGTGCTGGGATTACAGGTGTGAGCCACCGCGCCCGGCCAAAATATGTGTTTTAATGGCAACAATTGTCCCCACCTGACTGTGTTTACATGTCTCTTTTACCTCTGCTAACAGTAGTGACCATTTGTAGCATGTTCCCTCAGAATACAGGATGGGGTTTTTAAAATGTATTATGGATTAAGCGTCTATGATGATCTGGAAAACAAGCCAGAATCCTAACTTAAGGAATGCACATTTTGCTAAAACAGAAGAAAAACTGCAAAATGATTTGACATCAAGGATGCTAAATGATTAGCATTAGACCAATAGAAATATTATACATTTCTATTAACTATAAGAAATATCCACATAAATATTCAGTAATGCAATTTGGGTCTTCTGGTAATCTGTCACTTTTCATTTTCTTTTCTTTTCTGTAGAGCTGAGGACTCAAAATACTTCCTCTTATGGCTGTCCTACATGACACCCCATTTTGCTTTGCTCTCAAGCCTGGGATACACCTCAGACTAAGTGAGAGTCAGGATATGGATACCAAACGGAATTACTTTTTTATCCAGAGAAAAACTGAATTTTCTGGATCTAAGACTTCTTTATTGAAAATTAGAAGTTTGGATATATTGAGCAATTCCCAGATTAATTTGTTCACCAATCCACTTCTCTGATGGTTATCTTTAAATCAGTTTGTTTTAGGTAAATAAATCTATCTGTAAAATAAACAATATGGTATCTTGTAAACAAGGACAGCATCAGTTGTAATAAAGTAAGGAGACCAACAACTTCTTGATCCCCACCCCAAATGCCCCAATGTATTGTAACTGTCATTTTACTGTCTACTTTTATGAAATCATCTCTTTTAGATTCCATATATGAGTGAGATCACGCAGTACTTATCTTTCCTGTTTTATTTCACTTAACATAATGTCTTCCAGGTTCATCCATGTTGTCACAAATGATAGGATTCTGAGAGGGTGAATGTTCAGTGCTCTCCCCACATGATAACTACATGAGGTAATGCATATGTTAATTAGCCAGAGTTATCGTTCCACTTTGTATGTATACTACAAAACATCATGTTGTATGCTATAAATACAGCAGTTCCTCTGTATCTGTGGGGTATCGGTTCCAGAACCTCCCATGGAAGACCAAAATCAGACAATGCTTGAGTTCTTGTCATAAAATGGCATAGTATTTGACATAACAGCTGCATATTCTCCCTTATACTTTAAATCATCTTTAGATTACTTATAATACCTAATAAAATGTAAATGCTGTGTAAATAATTGTTATATTATACTGGTTAGAGAAGAGCAAGACAAAAGTCTATAACGTGTTCAGTACAGATGCAAATTTTTTTGGAGTATTTTCCATCCATGGTTGGATTGAGTCCATGGATGCAGAACCCATGAATGTGGGAGGCTTACTACACATATAGATGTATCTGCCAACTTAAAAAATAATAATAAATTTGAAAAAAAAACAGTAAGAAGAAAATTGGTCAATGACCCCCAAATTGCTAAAATCTTTTTAGGTACAGTTAACTGCTAAGCATTAGAAGTCTGATAATTATTATTTTGAAGTGTGTGTGCACGTGTGTGCATGTGTGTGTGTGTGTGTTAGGCTTATGGCAATACTAAAGTTATAGTGGGAAGAAATCGAGATTTTTCTCCTTGGTGAAATTAGACTTGAATTATAATTGAAAATAGAATTGGTTTCTCACAGTGTGGACAATATTTAAATGCCATATCAATGACCTATTTACCATCTAAAATGGTTGTAAAGACACAGTTTTTAAATTCCTGAAGTGCTGCATTTGATGATTTCTAAATAAGTTTGCTACAAAAGCACTCTGAGTTTTCTAGATGGTAATATGGGATGCCTAGATGTGGTGGCAACATCTGATACAGAATAAGGTAGAAGTACTGCTGGTTTGTTTTCATCCCCATGGGGTGTCAGTTAATTCCTCATCATTGGGTAAAACAGCTCCTGGAAGTGTCTCTCTCTATTCTGCACTCTTTTTCCCCTGCATAAAATATGCCTTCTCAAATAAAGTAAACCTGTTACTATTAGCATGTGCCAGGAGCTGGGAAATTTGTTAAATAATTTTATTTACTTCTGAAAACCATTCTAGAAGCCTTTACCATGTTTTACAGATGAGGAAACTGAGGATTGTAGAGATTATGTAGATCTCCATGTCCTTATATCTGGTGAAGAGTGGTCAGAAGTTAAATCTAGTGCCCTTTCCACTACCACAGAGTAGATCCCCAGGTTAACCTTTCTACCCGGCCTTTGTTTTCATGTAAAAAATTTGTTATAAAAATACAGTTTCAGGTTGAAGAATAAACTGAATGTATAAGACTACTATGAGTGAAAGGGTCTAAAACACAAAACTCTTATGTTTCTAAATATTATGATTTCAAAAACAGACATAAAATCCAATTCAAGAAATGAAATAATAACCTTAGAATTGCAAGTGTCAGGCTGAGCCATACACAGCACCACCTCAGTTTCCCTGTCTGCACTACCTCACCCTCCTCTAGACAAAATAATATAACAATAAGTCCAGTTACCAATGTGAGTCTCAGCCTAAAGGTTTCCTAATAAAAACAATACCCAAACACTAAATTCCCAGCATTTGTTCCAGCACTGAGAATCCCCTTCCAGAAAACAGGCCAATACTCGTGAGTTAATCTTAGAAGGGAGGGGCTCAGGCAGGTCCCATCAGTCTACTTTTAAAAGAATTACTCTCAGAACATAGGCCAATACTCCTTGTCAAGTAATAGGGGGAAAATGGAGAGACAAAACCCAGGTGTTAGAAAAAGCTGAGTCTAGGCCAGGAGTGGTGGCTCACATCTATAATCCCAGCACTTGGAGAGGCCAAGGTGGGCAGATTGCTTGAGCTCAGCAGTTTGAGACCAGCCTGGACAACATGGCGAAACCCATCTCTGCAAAATCTACAAAAATTAGCCGGCCATGGTGGCACATGACTGTAATCCCAGCTACCCTGCTACTTGAGAGGCTGAGGCAGGAGAGTTGCTTAAACCCAGGAGGCAGAGGTTGCAGTGAGCCGAGATCATGCCACTGCACTCCAGCCTGGGCAACAATGGGATACTCTGTCTCAAAAAATAATTAAAAAAAAAAAGATAAACAAAAAAAAATTGCTGAGCCTAAACAGTTTACTGTTTTTGATTGGGAAAGAAAAAAGAAAAAGTCCTGATGTAAAAATTATCTGCAAAGGCTATCAATTTTGGATAAATCAGAACATGGCTGTAATCTACTTACATTTCTCTCTGTGTTCTAATTCGCACCCAAAAGAGACTACAATGAGCTGTCATGGATAAATATTTACATGCTGTTTAATAGTCGATGTAATAAATAATTCACATTTTAAACTCAATTGGCTATTATCCCTGTTGGCTAGGTTGAGACATTGTTAATTATCAAAAACAGGAAGCAAACTAAATATAATTCATACTTAGTTGTAGAGTGCACTCAGCCCATCAGCGATGTGTCTGGACACAGAAAGTGTGACACCTTCCCTGTCTCCCTCTGCCTCCTTTCTGTTGCAGAATTATAGAAATTGAAATATGTGGCTGTGAGACTGAGGGCTTAAGAACATAGACTCTGGCCTTTTTCCTGAATGAGACAGAGAGACTTGGTCCAAAGCCTTGTTTTCCCATTACTACCTGTGTGGTCTTGGAAAAATCAGCAAATCACTCTGTGCTTCATTTTTCTCATCAGCAAAATGAATTCTGCTACCTACTTCATAAGGTTGTTGTGATGATTAAATTAAATATAATGTTCCTAAAGACAGTACTTTGCAAACAGTAGGTGAGTAATAGATGGTTGTGGAAGTGGCTAGTTAGGATCACTGATTCCCTTCCCCCTAGAGTTAGAGATGTGATGCCTACTGACAGAAAAAAGGGAAGGTCCTGTGGATAAAATAACTTACTGGGTAGAACATTATTATGTTGACTCTTTGTTCTCACTCAGTTCAGCTGCATGTTCAGGTAGACTAATTCCAGTAAACTTCAGATTCTGTAAACAAAATAAATGCATTGTTTGTTTACTTGGTCTTCAAATATTATTCATATGGAGCATAGTATATGACAGAACAAAGTGGAAATACAGAGGTGAGATGGGTTAAATTGTGTTTCTAAAGGATGTGTTGAATTTCTCACCCCCAGTACCTTTAAGTGAGATGTTATTTGGAAATACGCCCTTTGCAGGTATAATCAAGTTAAAATGAGGTCATACTGCAATAGAGTGGGCCTTTAATCCCATAATACTGGTGTTTTGTTTATTTGTTTTTTCTTTGCAAAAGCAAGTTTATTAAGAAAGTAAAGAAACAAAAGAATGGCTACTCCATAGGCAGAGCAGCCAAGACTGGCATTCTTATAAGAGGAAAAGAGGCAAAGAGACACATATACACGAATAGAGACAGCCATGGGAAGATAGAGGCAGACATGAGAGTGATGCTGCCATAGAAGCAAGGTACTTCTGGGGTTTCCAGAAGCTGCAGAGGCAAGAAAGGATCCTCCCCAGAGGCTTAGGAGGAGCATAGTCCTGCTCACACCTTGATTTTGGACTTGCCACCTCTAGAACTGCAAGACAATACATTTCTGTTGTTTTCAGCCACCCAGTTTGTGGTGCTTTGTTATGGCAGCCTAGAAAACTAATACAGAGATTAGAATATAAGATAAAGACAACCCTGGCCTTCCAAGAGCTTGCAACCTGGGTGAAAGGTGTACACAGAAAAGAAACTCACATTACAAGGCTGAATTAACCAAATGCTGAATATTGGTAACAAGTGGCATGTAGCAGGGTAAACAAGGAAGTTTGAGGACACAGAATTCAAGTCCTCCTAACAGAACCGGAGAAAAACCATGGAGGAGGCCACATCTGCACTGTCCTGAGTGCTGAGCAGGATTTCAGGAGAGAGAAGGCAGAGATGCTGGACAGGCCAGCACAGGTGGATGAGTGTGCATGGACACTCTGAGCAGGGCTAGTTCCTGAGCTGGTTGCGGCAGAGCATGGGGCACTGAAAGGCAGACACTGGCCCAGAAACTCTTTCTGTAAAGCTTCTAGTAAGCCTCATGAGCCACCCTGGACCACATCTTCATCAAGTCCCAGATGTCTACATGCCCATTTGGTTTCTTTTCAGCTCATATAGTTTCCTAATTATTCTAGTTAATAGTCCACTAACTTAAATTCCCAGTTTCTATCTCTCTGGATAATATTCAGGTATCAATAAGACTAAACGTGTAATCCATTAGAAATGAAGATTTATCTGAGCAGTCACAGGCAACATGGAAGAGTAGGACCCTAGGGGACAGGCAGGAATGTCTCTCTCCACCCTAAGAGGGTAAGCACTTACCCAAAGCTTCAGCATAAGATGAAAACAGATGGTTTTCACACTTTCAAAAACACACAAACCAGTGAAAAAAATATTTTCAACCATGTACTTTATATTCCTCTTGGAATTCACAGTTGGAGTCAGTTTCATATTTCTTAAAATAGGCCTCACAATTCTCCAGTCTGATTATCTTGGATCTAAGAAAATGAAACAAGTTATTAGGATACAGATTATTAAAAAAGTAAAGAGGTTACTCACTTTTTAGGTCTTCATCATGAAAAGATAAAGAAAAAGACAATCAGAAAGACTCATTCATTTGGGAAATAAACATCTTCCCCAAAGACAAAAGCCAGAGAAACCTGAGTGTATATATATATTTTTTCAAGGGAGTGGTTGAGAAAAAAGGGAGGAGGGCTAACAAAATAGTATTTATAAAACACTGGAATGATAATCCAAAAATCTAATTTCTAGGCCCTATTGTGTAACTGATTGGCTTTGTGACCTTAAGTAAGTTCTCTTCCCCGAGATCTTGATAACCCATTTCTTTAAGTCACTATATATATATTCAGATAGACAGATGATAGATAGATATAGATAGATAGATAGATAGATAGATAGATAGATAGATAGATAGATGATAGATAGATAGATGACAGACAGATAGATAGATAGATAGATAGATAGATAGATAGATAGATATTAGGCCAGTGCAAAAGTAATTGCAGTTTTTGTATTGTTGGAATTAGCCATTGAATTGGAATTCATTCTTAAATAAATGTGGTTATGTTATACATTATTTTAATGCACATTTCTTGATTTTTTTTTGCTGATGACTTATTACTTGCTGTTTATTTTATGTTTATTTTAGACTATGGAAAATGATGTTGGACAAAAAGCAAAACTGAGTGATTTTCTTATTCGAGTCAAAATGGGTCATAAAGCAGCGGTGACAACTCACAACATCAACAAAGCATTTGGCACAGGAACTGCTAATGAACATAAAGGGAAGTGGTGGTTCAAGAAGTTGTTCAAAGGAGATGAGAGCCTTGAAGATGAGGAGCAGTCATGGAGGCTGATCCTCTTACAACTACAGGAGAAATTGCTGAAGAACTCAACATCAACCATTCTATGATTGTTTGGCATTTGAAGGAAATTGGAAAGGTGAAAAAGCTCGATAAGTGGGGGCCTCATGAGCTGACCAAAAATCAAAATAATCGTCATTTGAAGTGTCTTCTTCTCTTATTCTACACAACAACGAGCAATTTTTTGATCAGATTGTGTCGTGTAATGGAAAGTGGATTTTATACAACAGTCAGCAACAACCAGCTAAGTGGTTAGACTGAGAAGAAGCTCCAAAGCACTTCCAAAAGCCAAACTTGCACCAAAAAAGGTCATGGTCACTGTTTGGTCTTGCCAGTGTGATCCACGACAGCTTTCTGAATCCCAGCGAAACCATTACATCTGAGAAGTATGCCCAGCAAATTGATGAGATGCACTGAAAACTGCAATGCCTGCAGCCGGCATTGGTCAACAGAAAGGGCCCGATTCTTTTCCAGGACAACCCTCGACAGCAAGTCCCATAACCAACGCTTGAAAAGTTGAACGAATTTGGCTACAAAGTTTTGCCTCATCCACCATATTCACCTGACCTCTTGCCAACCGACGACCACTGATTTCAAGCATATTGACACCTTTTGGAGGGAAAATCCTTCTGCAGCAAGCAGGATGCAGATAATGCTTTCCAAGGGTTTGTCGAAACCTGAAGCACAGATCTTTATGCTACAGGAATAAACAAACTAATTTTTCATTGTCAAAAATATGTTGATTGTAATGGTTCCTACTGTGATTAATAAAGATGTGTTTGACAGGAACAGAAAATCAAACACCGCATGTTCTAACTCATAACTGGGAGTTGAACAATGAGAACACATGGACACAAGAAGGGGAACATCACACACAGAGGCCTACGGGGGGTGGGGGGCAAGGGGAGGGAAAGCATTGGGACAAATACGTAATGCATGCAGGGCTTGAAACCTAGATGATGGGTTGATTGGTGCAGCAAACCACCATGGCGCATGTATTCCTATGTAACAAACCTGCATGTTCTGCACATGTATCCCAGAACTTAAAGTATAATACTAATACTGCTACTACTAATAATAAAAAGATGTGTTTGAGCCCATTCATAATGATTTAAAATTCATGATCTGAAACTGCAATTACTTTTGCACCAATAATATATATATTACATAATATATTTATGCATATGTTATTTATATATATAATCAAAACTAAGTTCATTAAATACATATAAAAATAAACTTATATGACAGCAATACCCTATGAAGGCACTAAAAGGGAAGAAATGTCCAGAGAAATATTTATTTATTTACCAAACGGGGTGGTAGGTTTTTCTTTTGTTAGTGTAAATCTGAAAAGTTATTTCTCCTCCCTTACATAACACAGACTTCCAAGTTAGTCAAGTTAGTCATTTAAAAACATTTATTTATTTAAACTTTTATTTTAGTTTCAAGAGTACATGTACAGATTTGTTACAGAGGTAAATTGCATGTTTTGGGGGTTTGGAGTAGAGATTATCTCATCTCTCAGGTAATCAGCACAGTACCCAGTAGGTATTTTTTTGATTCTCACCTTCCTGCCACCCTCCATCCTCAGATAGTCCCTGGTGTCTGTTGTTCCCTTGTCTGAGTCCATGTGTACTCAATGTGTAGCTCCCATTTATAAGTGAGAATATGTGGTATTTTGTTTTCTATTCTTGTGTTAGTTTGCTTGGGATAATGGACTCCAGCTCCATCCATGCTGCTGTAAAGAACACAACCTCACTCTTTTTTATGGCTGCATAGTGCTCCATGTATATGTACCACATTTTCTCTATGCAGTCTATTGTTGATGGGCATTTAGGTTGCCTCCATATCTTTTTTATTGTGAACAGTGCTATGATGAACATACACGTGCATGTGTCTTTATGGCAGAACAATTTATATTCCTTTGGGTATACACCCAATATGGGATTACTGGGTTGAATGTCAATTCTGCTATAAGTTCTTTGAAAAAATGCTAAAATGCTTTCTACAATTACTGACCTAAGTTACATTCCCACCAGCAGTATGTAAATGTTCTCTTTTCTCTGCAACCTTGCCATCATGCTATTTTTTGACTTTTTAATAGCAGCCATTCTGACTTCGGTAAGATGCTGTCTTATCATGGTTTTAATTTGCCTTTCTCTAATAATTAGTGATGTTGTGCATTGTTTCATATGCTTGTTGGCCAAATGTCTGTCTTTTTTTTAAGTGTCTGTTCATGTTCATTGCCCATTTTTTAATGCAGTTGTTTGTTTTCTGCTTGTTAATTTCTTTTTTTTCATAGAATAAATTTTAGTCTTTATTTATTTATTTATTTTTATTTTTATTTTTTTTATTATACTTTAAGTTTTCAGGTACATGTGCACAACGTGCAGGTTTGTAACATATGTATACATGTGCCATGTCGGTGTGCTGCACCCACTAACTCATCATTTAACATTAGGTATAGCTCCTAATGCTACCCCTCCTGCCTCCCCCTACCCCACAACAGGCCCGGTGGCTGATGATCCCCTTCCTTTGTCCATGTGTTCTCATTGTTCAATTCCCACCTATGAGTGAGAACATGAGGTGTTCGTTTTTTTGTCCTTGTGATAGTTTGCCGAGAATGATGGTTTCCAGCTTCATCCACGTCCCTACAAAGGACATGAACTCATCATTTTTTATGGCTGCATAGTATTCCATGGTGTATATGTGCCACATTTTCTTAATCCAGTCTATCATTGTTGGACATTTGAGTTGGTTCCAAGTCTTTGCTGTTGTGAATAGTGCTGCAATAAACATACATGTGCATATGTCTTTATAGCAGCATGTTTCATAATCCTTTGGGTATACACCCAGTAATGGGATGGCTGGGTCAAGTGGTATTTCTAGTTCTAGATCCCTGAGGAATCGCCACACTGACTTCCACAATGGTTGAACTAGTCTACAGTCCCACCAACAGTGTAAAATTGTTCCTATTTTTCCAAATCCTCTCCAGCACATGTTGCTTCCAGATTCTTTAATGATTGCCATTCTAACTGGTGTGAGATGGTATCTCATAGTGGTTTTGATTTGCATTTCTCTGATGGCCAGTGATGATGAGCATTTTTTCATATGTCTTTTGGCTACATAAATGTCTTCTTTTGAGGAGTGTCTGTTCATATCCTTCGCCCACTTTTTGATGGGGTTGTTTGTTTTTTTCTTGTAAATTTGTTTGAGTTCATTGTAGATTCTGGATATTAGCCCTTTGTCAGATGAGTAGGTTGCAAAAATTTTCTCCCATTTTGCAGGTTGCCTGTTCACTCTGATGGTAGTTTTTTTTTGCTGTGCAGAAGCTCTTTAGTTTAATTAGATCCCATTTGTCAATTTTGGCTTTTGTTGCCATTGCTTTTGGTGTTTTAGACTTGAAGTCCTTGCCCATGCCTATGTCCTGAATGGTATTGCCTAGGTTTTCTTCAAGGGTTTTTATGGTATTAGGTCTAACATTTAAGTCTTTAATCCATCTTGAATTAATTTTTGTATAAGGTATAAGGAAAGGATCCAGTTTCAGCTTTCTACATATGGCTAGCCAGTTTTCCCAGCACCATTTATTAAATAGGGAATCCTTTCCCCATTTCTTGTTTTTGTCAGGTTTGTGAAAGATCAGATAGTTGTAGATATGTGGTGTTATTTCTGAGGGCTCTGTTCTGTTCCATTGATCTATATCTCTGTTTTGGTACCAGTACCATGCTGTTTTGGTTACTGTAGCCTTGTAGTATAGTTTGAAGTCAGGTAGCATGATGCTTCCAGCGTTGTTCTTTGGCTTAGGATTGACTTGGCAATGCAGGCTCTTTTTTGGCTCCATATGAACTTTCAAGTAGTTTTTTCCAATTCTGTGAAGAAAGTCATTGGTAGCTTGATGGGGATGGCATTGAATCTATCAATTACCTTGGGCAGTATGGCCATTTTCACGATATTGATTCTTCCTACCCATGAGGATGCAATGTTCTTCCATTTGTTTGTATCCTCTTTTATTTCATTGAGCAGTGGTTTGTAGTTCTCCTTGAAGAGGTCCTTCACGTCCCTTGTAAGTTGGATCCCTAGGTATTTTATTCTCTTTGAAGCAATTGTGAATGGGAGTTCACTCATGATTTGGCTCTCTGTTTGTCTGTTATTGGTGTATAAGAATGCTTGTGATTTTTGCACATTGATTTTGTATCCTGACACTTTTCTGAAGTTGCCTATCAGCTTAAGGAGATTTTGGGCTGAGACGATGGGGTTTTCTAGATATACGATCATGTCATCCACAAACAGGACAATTTGGCTTCCTGTTTTCCTAATTGAATACCCTTTATATCCTTCTCCTGCCTAATTGCCCTGGTCAGAACTTCCAACACTATATTGAGTAAGAGTGGTGAGAGAGGGCATCCCTGTCTTGTGCCAGTTTTCAAAGGGAATGCTTCCAGTTTTTGTCCATTCAGTATTATATTGGCTGTGGGTTTGTCATAGATAGCTCTTACTATTTTGAGATACGCCCCATCAATAACTAATTTATTGAGAGTTTTTAGCATGAAGGTTGTTGAATTTTGTCAAAGGCCTTTTCTGCATATATTGAGATAATCATATGGTTTTTGTGGTTGGTTCTGTTTATATGCTGAATTATGTTTATTGATTTGTGTATGTTGAATCAGCTTTGCATTCTAGGGATGAAGGCCACTTGATCATGTTGGATAAGCTTTTTAATGTGCTGCTGGATTCGGTTTGCCAGTATTTTATTGAGGATTTGTGTGTTGATGTTCATCAGAGATATTGGTCTAAAATTCTCTATTTTTGTTGTGTCTCTGCCAGGCTTTGGTATCAGGATAATGCTGGCCTCATAAAATGAGTTAGGGAGGATTCCCTCTCTTTCTATTGATTGGAATAGTTTCAGAAGGAATGGTATCAGCTCCTCCTTGTAACTCTGGTAGAATTCGGCTGTGAATCCATCTGGTTCTGGACTTTCTTTGGTTGGTAAGCTATTAGTTGTTGCCTCAATTTCAGAGCCTGTTATTGGTCTATTCAGAGATTCAACTTCTTCCTGGTTTAGTCTTGGGAGGGTGTGTGTGTCGAGGAATTTATCCATTTCTTCTAGATTTTCTAGTTTATTTGTGTAGAGGTGTTTATAGTATTCTCTGATGGCAGTTTGTGTTTCTGTGGGATCGGTGGTGATATCTCCTTTATCACTTTTTATTGCGTCTATTTTATTTTTCTCTCTTTTCTTCTTTATTAGTCTTGATGGCGGTCTATCAATTTTGTTGATCTTTTCAAAAAACCTGCTCCTGGATTCATTGATTTTTTGAAGGGTTTTTTGTGTCTCTATTTCCTTCAGTTCTGCTCTGATCTTAGTTATTTCTTGCCTTCTGCTAGCTTTTGAATGTGTTTGCTCTTGCTTCTCTAGTTCTTTTAATTGTGATGTGAGAGTGTCAATTTTAGATCTTTTCTGCTTTCTCTTGCGGGCATTTAGTGCTATAAATTTCCCTCTACACACTGCTTTGAAGGTGTCCCAGAGATTCTGGTATGTTGTGTCTTTTGTCTCATTGGTTTCAAATAACATCTTTATTTCTGCCTCCATTTCGTTATGTACCCACTAGTCATTCAGGAGCAGGTTGTTCAGTTTCCATGTAGTTGAGTGGTTTTGAGTGAGTTTCTTAATCCTGATTTCTAGTTTGTTTGCACTGTGGTCTGAGAGACAGTTTGTTATAATTTCTGTTCTTTTACCTTTGCTGAGGAGAGCTTTACTTCCAACTATGTGGCCAATTTTGGAACAGGTGTGGTGTGGTGCTGAGAAGAATGTATATTCTGTTGATTTGGGGTGGAGAGTTCTGTAGATGTCTATTAGGTCCACTAGGTGCAGAGCTGATCTCAGTTCCTGGATATCCTTTTTAAATTTTTGCCTTGTTGGTCTGTCTAATGTTGACAGTGGGGTGTTAAAGTCTCCCATTATTATTGTGTGGGAGTCTAAGTCTCTTTCTACATCTCTAAGGACTTGCTTTATGAATCTGGGTGCTCCAGTATTGGGTGCCTACATATTTAGGATAGTTAGCTCTTCTTGTTGAATTGATCTCTTTACCATTATGTAATGGCCTTCTTCGTTTCTTTTGATCTTTGTTGGTTTAAATTCTGTTTTATCAGAGACTAGGATTGCAACCCCTGCCTTTTTTTTGTTTTCCATTTGCCTCGTAGATCTTCCTCCATCCCTTTATTTTGAGCCTATGTGTGTCTGTGCACGTGAGATGGTTTTCCTGAATATAGCACACTGATGGGTCTTGACTCTTTATCCAATTTGCCAGTCTGTGTCTTTTAATTGGAGCATTTAGCCCATTTACATTTAAGGTTAATATTGTTATGTGTATAAATTCTGGAGAATAGATCTTTGTCAGATGCATAATTTGAAAATATTTTCTCCCATTCTGTAGGTTGGGTGCTGATAGTTGGTAAGTTGCAAATATTTTATCTCATTCTGTAAGTTATCTGTTTATAGTTTCTTTTATTGTGTAGACACTGTTTAGTTTAATTAGATTTCATTTGTCGATGTTTGTTTTTGTTGCCATTGCTTTGTCGCATCATGAAATCTTTGCCAGGGCCTATGTTCATAATAGTGTTTCCTAGGTTTTTCTCAAGGATTTTTTTATAGTTTTAGATTTTATATTTTAGTATTTAATCCATCTTGATGTGATTTTTTATATGGTATAAGGAAGGGGTCTAGTGTCTATCCTCTGCATATTGTTACCCAGTTACCCCAGCACAATTTGTTGAATAGGGAATCCTTTCCCCATTGCTTATTTTTGTAGAATTTGTCAAAGATTGGATGGTTGTTGGTGTGTGGCTTTATTTCTGCACACTCTATTCTGTTCCAATGGTCTATGTGTCTGTTTTTGCAACAGTACCCGTTTTGGTTACTGTAGCTTTGTAGCATAGTTTGAAGTCAGGTAATGTGATGCCTCCAGCTTTGTACGTTTTGCTAATGATTGCTTTGTCCACTGAGGTTCTCTTTTCATTGCATATGAACTTTGGAATAACTTTTGCTAATGCCAGGAAGAATATCATTGGTGTTTGATTGGAATAGCATTGAAACTGTAAATTGCTTTGAGATGTATGGCCATTTTAACAAGACTGATTCTTCCTATCCATGAGTATGGAAAGTTTTTCCATTTGTTTGTATCATCTCTGATTTCTTTGAGCATTGTTTTGTAATTATTTTATAAAGGTCTTTTGCCTCCCTGTTTAGCTGTATTTCTCAGTACTTTATTCCTTTTGTGGCTAATGTGAATGGTATTCCATTCTTTATGGCTCTCAGCTTGGATGGTATTGGTGTATAGAAATGCTATTTTTTTTTTAAGATGGAGTCTGGCTCTGTTGCTAGGGTAGAGTGCAGTGCCATGATCTTGGCTCACTGCAACCATCACCTCCTGGCTTTAAGTGATTCTCCTGCTTCAGCCTCCCAGGTAGTTGGGACTACAGGCATGAACCATCATGCCTAGCTGATTTTTGTATTTTTAGTAGAGATGGGGTTTCACCATGTTGGCCAAGATGGTCTCAATCTCTTGACCTCGTGATCTGCCCCCCGTCAGCCTTCCAAACTGCTGGGATTACAGGCGTGAGCCACTGTGCCTGGCCAGAAATGCTATTGATTTTTGTACATTGGTTTTGTATCCTGAAACTTTGCTAAAGTTATTTATCACACCTAGGAGCTTTTCGACAAAGACTGGAATTTTATAGTTATAGAATCATATAGTCTGAAGAGAGATAGTTTGGCTTTCTTTTTTTTTTCTAATTGGATGCCTTTTATTTCTCTTCTCTGATTGCTCTGCTAGGATTTCCAGTACTACATTGAATAAGTGTGGTGAGAGTGTCATCTTTGTCTTGTTCCACTTCTCAAGGGGATTGCTTTCAGTTTTTGCCCATTCAGAATGATGTTGTCTGTGTGTTTGTCATAGATGACTCATATTATTTTGTGGTATGTTCCTTCAATGACTAGTTTTTTGAAGGTTTTTTCACATGAGGGAATGTTGAATTTTACTGAAAGCCTTCTGCATCTATTGAGATAATTATGCGGTTTATGCTTTTTGTTCTGTTTATATGATGAATCACCTTCATTGATTTGTGTATGTTGAACTAACCTTGCATCCCAGGGATAAAGCAAACTTGATCACGATAGATTAGTTTTTTGAAGAGCTGATGGGTTCAATTTGCTAGTATTTTGTGGAAGATTTCTGCATCTATGTTTATCAAGGATATTGACATGAAGTTTTGTTTTTCTATTGTGCCTCTGCCATGTTCTGGTATCAGGATGATGCTAACCTCATAGAATGAGTGACGGAGGAATCCATCCTCCTCAGTTGTTAGGAATAGTTTCAGTAGAAATTATACCAACTCTTCTTTACACAACTTGTAGAATTCAAATGTGAATCCATCTGGTCCTGGGCTTTTTCTGGTTGGATGACTTTTTATTACTGATTCAATTTCAGAACTCATTATTGGCCTGTTCAGTGATTCAATTTCTACCTGGTTCAATCTTGGGAGGCTGTATGTTTTCCAGAATTTATCAATTTGTTCTAGGTGTATTAGTTTGTTTGTATAGAGGTGTTCATAGTAGTAGTCTTTGAGGGTTTTTTTTTTTGTATTTCTGTGGGTTCAGTTGTAATGTCCCCTTTGTCATGTCTGATTGTTCTTATGTGGATCTTCTCTCTTCCTTTATTAGTTTAGCTAGCAAGCAGACTTCAATTTTATTTAGTCTTTCAAAGAACCAATTTCTGGTATCGTTTTTCTTTATATATTTTTATGTATCTCAATTTCATTCAGTTCAGCTCTGATTTTGGTTATTTCTTGTCTTCTGTAGGCATTGGGGTTGGTTTGCTCTTGTTTGTCTAGTTCATCTTGGTGTGATGTTAAGTTGTTAATTTAAGATTTCGCTGTCGTTTTTTGACATGCACTCTTAATGCTATAAACTTTCCTTTTAACGTTACTTTAGCTGTGTCCCAGAGATTTTGGTATGTTGTATATTTTTCTTCCCATTAGTTTCAAGGAGTTTCTTGATTTGTTCCTAAATTTCATTGTTTACCCAGAAGTCATTTAGGAGTCAGTTAATTTCCATGTAGTTGTATTGTTTTAAGTGATCTTCTTAATATTGATTTCTATTGACATTGTGTTGTGGTCTGAAAGTGTGTTTGGTATGATTCCTTTTTTTATTTTAATTAATTTGCTGAGAATTGTTTTATGGAAGATTGTGTGGTTGATTTTAGAGTATGTGCCATGGGCACATGAGAAGAATGTATATTCTGTTGTTGGGAGGAGGATTTAGTAGGTATGTGTTAGGTTGATTTGGTCATGTTGAGTTCAGGTCCCAAATGTCTTGGTTAGTTTTCTGCCTTGATGATCTGTCTAATACTGTCAGTGGTATGCTGAAGTCTCCCATTATTATTATGTGGTTATTTGATCTCTTCATAGTTCTCTAAGAACTTGTTGTATGAATCTGGGTTCTCCTGTATTGGGTGCATATATATATTTAGAATAGTTACTTTTTCTTGTTGAATTGAACCCTTTACTATTATAGAATGCCCTTCCTTGACTTTTTTTTTTTCTTGATGCAGAGTTTTGCTCTTGTCATCCAAGCTGGAGTGCAGTGGCACCATCTCGGCTCACTGCAACCTCCGCAATGAGGCAGGGTTCAAGCGATTCTCCTGCCTCAGCCTCCCGAGTAGCTGGGATTGATTACAGGCATGTGCCACCATGCCTAGCTAATTTTTGTATTTTTGTTAGAGATGGGGTTTCACCATGTTGACTAGGCAGGTCTTCAACTCCTGACCTCAGGTGATCGGCCCACCTTGGCCTCCCAAAGTGCCTTCTTTGCCTTTTTTGATTATTGTTGGTGTAAAGTTTCTTTAGTCTGAAATTAGAATAGCAACTCTTGATTTTTTCTTTTTAAAGTTCGTTTTGTCTGAAATTAGAATGGCAACCCCTGGTTGTTTTTTTTTTTTTCTATTTTCTGTTTGATTGGTAGGTTTTTCTCCATCCCTTTGCTTTGAGCCTATGGGTGTCATTGCAAGTGAGATAGCAGCATACCATCAGAGACTACTTCTTTATTCATTATGCCACTCTGGGTCTTTTAATTGAGGCATTTAGCACATTTACAATGAAGTTTAATATCGATATGTGTGGATTTTATCCCACCGTCATGATGTTAGCTGGTTATTATGTAGACTTGACTATGCAGTTGCTTTATAGGGTCAATTGTCTATCTACTTAAGTGGGTTTTTTTTGTTTTGTTTTGTTTTGTTTTTTTTGGTAGTGGCCAGAAATAGTCTTTCATTTCCTTATTTAGCATTCTTTTAAGGACCTCTTGTGAGGCAGGTCTTGTTGTAGTAATACATTTCCTTATCATTTGCTTGTCTGAGAAGGAATTTATTTCTCCTTTGCTTATGAAGCTTAGTTTGGCTGGATATAACATTCTTGGCTGGAGTTTCTTGCCTTTAAGAAAACTAAATACAGGCTTCCATTCTCTTCTGGCTTGTAAAGTTTCTGCCAAAAGGTCTGCTGTTAGCCTGATGGGGTTCCCTTTTTAGGTGACCTGCTTCTTCTCTCTAACTGTCTTTAATATATTTTGTTTCATGTCGACCTTGGAGAATCTGATGAGTGTGTACTGGGGATGATCATCTTGTATAGTATCTCACAGGGGTTCTAATATGGTTTAGCTATGTCCCCACCCAAATCTCATTTTGAATTGTAGTTCCCATAATCCCCATGTGTTGTGAGAGGGACCTGGTGGGAGGTAATTAAATCATGGGGGAGGGTTATTCCCATACTGTTATCATAACAGTGAATAAGTCTCATGAGATCTGATGGTTTTATAAATGGGAGTTCCCCTGCACAAGCTCCCTTGCCTGCCACCATGTAAGACGTGGCTTTGCTCCTTCCTCATCTTTCACCATGATTGTGAGGCCTCCCCAGCCATGTGGAAATGTGAGTCCATTAAACCTCTTTTTCTTTATGTATTACCCAGTTTGAGGTATGTCTTTATTAGCAGCATGAGAACAAACTAATACAGTTTTTTTGCATTTCCTGAATTTAAATGTTAGACTTTCTGGAGAGGTTGGGGAAATTTTCTTGGATGATATCCTCAAATATGTTTTCCAAGTTGCTTGCTTTCTCTCCCTTTCTTTCAGGGACACCAGTGATTTGTAGATTTCACCTCTCTACATAGTTCCACATTTCTCAGAGGTTTTGCTCACTTTTTTGTTATTTTTTCTTTATTTTTGTCTGGCTGAGTTAATTCAGAGAACCAGTCTTTGGGCTCTGAGATTGTTTCCTCAACTTGGTCTATTTTGCTGTTAATACTTGCAATTCTATTATGAAATTCTTGTAGTGTGTTTCTCACCTCTATTAGATCAGTTTTGTGCTTTCTTAAAATGACCATTTCATCTTTTAGCTCCTGTATTTTTTTTTTTTTTTTTTTTGTATTTCTTAAATTCCTTGGATTGGGTTTCAACCTTCTCCTGAATCTTAATAATCTTCCTTCCTATCTAAATTCTGAATTCTATGCCTGCCATTTCAGCCTGGTTAAGAACCATTTCTGGGGAAGTAATGTGGTCATTTGGAGGTAAGAAGACACTGTGGCTTTTTGAGTTCCAAGAGTTCTTGTGCTAGTTTTTGTTTTTTGTTGTTGTTGTTTTGTTTTGTTTTGTTTTGTTTTTTCAGCTGTGTGGACTGATGTTCCTTAAACCTTTTAAATTGCCGTCATTTGGATGGGATATTTTGCATTATCTTCTTGGAAGCTTTCAAGGGTTTGATTGTGGTATAAGAAGGGTATAAGTCAGCTGACTGGCTTTGATTCTGGAAGATTTCAGGGAGCTCAGCTCAACACTCCTTGGCTGTGTGCTCTAACACTGAGGGCTGCTACCAGCCTTGTTCTCTGGTCCCTCAAGACTAGGAATCTGCTGCACTGGAGGGACCAAGATGTTCCTGGTCTGCTGGCCCCAATACTCTGATTAGGGGGTGTTGGCCAAAGTGCTTCACTGAGGTAGTGACAGCAGGATCCTTGCCTGCTAGTGTATGTCAGTAGCCATGATGGTGATTGAGTTGCCTATACATCATCAGCAGGGTCAGAACATTAGTGGGTGTGAGGCTTTGGCAGTGGCACCAGCATATACACACTCACACTGGTGGTGGTGGCAGTGCAGTGGGGATGGTATGCTAGTAGGTGTAGGAGTGCTGGCATCCATGCACACTGATTGGCTTTTGGGTCTCTATAATATGCACTCTAATTTAACATTTGCCACCCCCCTCAGGTTTTTACTTATTTATTTACTTATTTTTTAACTTTAAGTTTAGGTGTATACATGTAAATTTGTTACATAAGCAAACTCGTGTTATGAGGATTTGTTGTGTAGGTTATTTTATCACCCATGCTTTGAGCCCAGTACCTATTAGTTATTTTTCCTAATCCTTTCCCTCCTCCCAGCTTCCACCTTCAAGTAGGCCCAGTGTGTGCTGTTCCCCTCTATGTATCCATGTGTTCTCATCACTTAGCTTCCACTTATAAGTAAGAACATGCAGTATTTGGTTTCCTGTTTCTACAATAGTTTACTAGGAATAATGACCTCTAGCTCCATCCATGTCCTTGCAAAGGCCATGATCTTTTTCTTTCTTATGGCTGCATAGTATTCCATGATGTATATATCACATCTTCTTTAGCCAGTCTATTGTTGATAGGCATTTAGGTTGACTCTATATCTTTGCTATTGTGAATAGTGCTGCAATGAACATATGTGTGCATGTATATTTATAATAGAACAATTTATATTCCTTTGGGTTTATACCCAGTAATGGGATTGCTGGGTCAAATAGTATTTCTATCTTTAGGTCTTAGAGGAATTGTCAACCTGTCTTTCACAATGACTGAACCAATTTACTCACCCACCAACAGTGTACAAGTGTTTCTTTTCTCCCACAACCTTGTCAGCATCTGTTATTTTTTGACTTTTTTTTTTTTTAGATGTAGTCTCAATCTGTCCCCCAGGCTGGAGTTCAGTGGTGCCATCTCAGCTCTCTGCAAGCTCCACCTCCCAGGTTCACGCCATTCTCCTGCCTTAGCCTTCCGAGTAGTTGGGACTACAGGTGCTTGCTACCACACCTGGCTAATTTTTCGTATTTTTTTTTTTTTTTAGTAGAGAGGGGATTTCACCATGTTAACCAGGATGGTCTCCATCTCCTGACCTCGTGATCCACCTGCCTCAGCCTCCCAAAGTCCTGGGATTACAGGCGTGAGCCACTGCACCTGGCCTTGACTTTTTAATAATTCCATTCTGACCAGTGTTAGGTGGTATCTTATTGTGGTTTTGATTTGCATTTGTCTAATGATCAGTGAAGTTGAGCTTTTTTTCACATGATTCTTGGCCACATGTATGTCTTGTTTTGAAAAAGTGTCTGTTCATGTCCTTTGCCCACTTTTTTATGGGATTTTTTAAATGTTCGTATGTACATTTTTTTATGTTTCTTATAGATGCTGGATATTAGACCTTTGTCAGATACATAGTTTGCAAAAATTTCTCTCTCACATTCTCTGTAGGTTGTCTGTTTACTCTGTTGATAATTTCTTTTGCTGTACAAAACCACTTTAATTTAATTAGTTCCCATTTGTCAATTTTTGCTTTTGTTGCAATTGCTTTTAGCATATTCATCATTGAATGTTTATAGCAGCACAATTGACAATTGCGAAATTGTTGAACCAACCCAAAAGCCCATCAATCATGGAATACTACACAGTCACAAAAAGGAATTAATTAACAACATTTGCTGTGACCTGGATGAGACTGGAGACTATTATTCTAAGTGATGTAACTCAGAAATAGAAAACCAAACATTGTGTGCTCTCACTGATATGTGGGAACTGAGCTATGAGGATGCAAAGGCATATGAATGATACAATGGACTCTTGGGACTTGGGGTAAAGAGTAGGGGGAGGGGGAGGAATAAAAGACTACAAATATGGTGCAGTTTATACATGGGTGATGGCTGCACCAAAATCTCACAAATCAACACTAAAGAACTTACTCATGTAAGTAAATACCACCTTACCCCAATAACTTATGGAAAAAAATAAAATAAAACAAGAAACAAAACAAATTGATTAAAAACAGCAAGATGGAAGACTTCAACACAATCATATAAATAATTATTTTAAGTGTGATCTAAATATATCAGTTACAAAGCAGAGATATAAATATGTGATTAAAAGTAAGGGTATAGATGGCCAGGCTTGGTGGCTCACTCTTGTAATCCCAGCACTTTGGGAGGCCAAGGAGGGCAGATCATGATGTCAGGAGATCCAGACCATCCTGGCTAACATGGTGAAACCCTGTCTCTACTAAAAATACAAAAAGTTAGCCAGGCATGGTGGCACGCACCTGTAGTCCCAATAAATATAGATAACTGGTTTTTGACAAAAGAGGAAAATGTAATCTGATAGAGAAGAGGCTGAGGCAGGAGAATCACTTGAACCCAGGAGGCAGAGGTTGCAGTGAGCCAAGACTGCACCACTGCCACTGCACTCTAGCCTGGGTGACAGAGTGAGACTCCATCTCAAAAAAAAAAAAAAAAAGGAACTGTATAGAGAAAGATATACCACAAAAACATTAACTGAAAGAAAGCTAAAGAAATATTAAATTCTAACAAAGTGGCTTTCAGAAAATGAAAACTATAAGCAGTAAAGAACATTACATAATGATAAAGGGATCAATTCTCTGAGAAAGCATGACTACCCTAATATACGTGCTCCTAAAAACAGAGTTTCAAAATACATGAACCCCACATTGATAGATCTGATAGATAAATAGACAAATCAAAAATTACAGTTGAAGACTTCAATGCCCTTCTCTCAGTAATTGATAGAAAGTAGAAAATAATTCAGTAAATCCGAAGATTATTTCAACAGCATTACTAAGTAACTTGACCCAACTGACATCTATAAAACATTTCATATCAACAACAGCAGAATGTACATTCTTTATGAGTGAACATGGAACATACACCAAAATGTACTATATTCTCAGTGATTTAACAAGCCTTAACAAGTCATACCATAAACTTTCAACCTCAATAGACTTAAACTAGAAATTAATAACACAAAAATATCTGAAAGTGTTCTAATATTTAGAAATTAAACAATATCCATAAATAATTCATGGGTGAAAGTGAAAATTTCTAGAAAGAATTTTTAAAAATATTTGAAACTAAATGAAAACTCATCATCCCAAATTAGCAGCATGCAACAATAGCAGCACTTTGAGGAACATTTATAGTACTGAAGGTATACATTTTAAAAATGAAAAATCCCAATAACACAAGCTTCTACCTAAGAAAATTAGAGAAGAAGTTCAAGCCTAAACCAAGTAGAGTGAAGAAAATAATAATATTAGAATAGAAATAAGTTAAACTGAAAACAGAAAAACAATACAGGAAATAAAATCAAAAGCTAGTTCTTTGAAAAGCACAATGAAACTCATAAACTTCATTTCAGCTTAATAGAGAAAGAGACAATGTGAGAAAGAGATAAAGAAGACACACATTACCAATATCAGAAATAAAGAGGGGACATTACTCTTCTTCATACTCCAGACAGCAACAGGATAATAAGTTTGATATCATGAACAACTCTGTCTGATAAATTCTACAACTTAGGTAAAATAGAAAAATTTGAAAGCCATGTACAACGAAAACTCAGTAAAAAAGAAATTTATAACCTTACTAGCCCTATATATATTTTAGAAATTGAATTAGTGGTTAAAACCTTTTAAAAATGCTGTCCCAGAAGGCTTCACTGCTGAATTCTATCAAACACTTAAGGAAGCAAAAATACCAATTCTATACGTTCTCTTTAAGTGAAAAAGAAATATTTCCGAATTCATTTTGTGAGATATCACCCTAATAACAAAATAGATAAAAATGCTGCAATAAATGAAATCTAAATACCATTATTTTTTATGTATATAGATGTAAAACCTTTAACAAAATGTTAGAAAATCGCATCCAGCAATCAAAACAAATATGCTACAACCAAGTTGGGTTTATCCAAGCAATACAAGGCTGGGTAAACAATTGGAAAACAATCAATGTAGTTTACCATGTTAAAAGACAGAATAAGAAAAGCCGTATGGTCATATCAATAAATGCAGAAACAATTTTTAAGAAAATTCAACATATTTTAAAGCTAAAAGCTCTAAGTAAACTAGGAACAAAAATCAACTTCCTTAGTCAAATAAAGAATGCCCATGAATAACCAATAGCTAACATAATAATTAATGATGAAAAACTAACTTATATTATCTAAGATGTAGAACATGGCGAGAATGTCTTTTTTCACTGCTTATTATTTAACACTGTGTGGAAGGGCCTCGCTAGTGCAATAGGCAAAAATAATTAAATTTATAAAGTTTAAAAAAGAAGAAAGAAAACGATCTTTATTTTCAGCCAACATGATTGTGTTAACGTTACAGAGAATCTACAAAAATCTCTTGGAACTAATAAATGAATTTAGCAAATTCATAGGATACATAGTCCACATACAAAATCAACTGCATTCTTACATATGAGCAATGAAAAATTGAAATCTAAAATTAAAAAAAGTGTAACACCTATTTGCATATAAATTTAATAAAATATGTGCAAGGTCTGTGTGCAGAAAACTATAAAACACTGACGAAATAAATTAAAGATGATCTAAGCAAACTCAGAGATATACCACGGTCATTGATTAGAAGATTCAGTATTGTTAAGACACCGATTTCTCCAATGAATTTTAGATTTAATGCAATCACAATAAAAATTCCAGCAAGCTTTTTGTTTTAATAGATATCAACAAGTTGATTCTGAAATTCACACAAAAAGGCAAAGGAACTGGAAGAGCTAACATAATTCCAGAAAACAACATTGGAGGGTCCAGATGACCAAATTTCCAGACTTATTAAAAGTTATAGTAATCAAGGCAGTGTGTTATTGGTGACAATGTAGATACATAAATCAAAATACAGGACCCAGAAATAGGACAATAAATATAGATAACTGACTTTTGACAAAAGAGAGAATGTAATTTGATAGAGAAAGGATAAGCTTTTTATCAAATAATATTAGAAAAGCTGAATGTTCATATGCAAAAATGAGCCTAGATCCATGCCTCACAGCATATACTATATAGATTAAAATGTGTTAAAGACCTAAAAGTACTCTAAACTTGCCTTTAAAGAACTTGGGAAGATATACTTAGATGCTTTCTGTTAAGGGGGAAGAGAATCCCTGGAGTAGGAGAGTGTTTTGAGTAAACAAATACAGCTAGAAAAATGAATGGGCACAAATGTCTGCAAGAAAAGCCAAGAGGAACATAAGGGACCCCATGGAGAAAATGCTAACATCTGAAAACAATATGAAAACACTGACTAAATCAAGGGTGGGGGAAGACATATAACAAACAGAGAGAAAAAAAAATGTTGAAAAAGAAAGTTTAATTGGCTTGTAAGAAATAGACTGATCATAAGCAGAACTTCCAGAATCCTTTGGTAATAGTACTTTAGGGGCAAAGCAAACTTACAGGTTGAATTAATTTTTTAATACCTTGGTCTATGACCTTAGGGTATTATTATACTTTTATTATTTTAATGTTCTAATCATTAAATAAGACACAGATAAATTAATGCACAGAATAATGAATAATTATAAAGAGAGATCCCATATAACTCCCCCTCAAGGCAAGAAATGGCATTTCTGTTATTTCAGTTGCATCCTCTTTCTCTCCCTATTTGTAATCTGTATCCTAGAAGCATCACTTCCTTGCCTTGTAACTATTTTATGCCCTAGGTTCTTCATCTCTGAAATGCAAATGGTAGTGATATCTATCCTGTAGTGTTGTTACAAAGATAAATAAGGTAAATGTCAATTTGTTCATTATGACATAGAGTAAATGTTTACTAAATATTTGCTCTTATTAGTGGTGCTCACATAACAAAGCAAAAGCAAGGACTAGCTTTGAATATAGATGTAAAAAAGGAAAAGCTTATTGAAAATGACATGACCAATGCAAAATTACAGAATGTTCAACGGTATTGTTGACAAATATTAAAATGAATATTTTGTAAACTCAAAAAAGTTATACTTTTCCTGACAAGTCACCTTAAAGGTAAATAAAGTATGTAAGAACACATACTTCTTCCCCAGAGAACATGATGAAAGCACTGCATGGGAATTGATGGAAGTAATTTTCTTACATAAGAACCAGAACTAGAGTTTCCCTCTCAGATTATAGAGAATGGAAAAAGAAACTCAAATTGCATAAACGGCAGATCTCAGTCATAAAAATCTTTGTATTAAATAGGATTCAAGTTACATGCTCTGGTAACGTGGGTCTAAGAGGATGCTAATTGGTGAGTTGATTACATGGGGGACATATAAATAATTAACTGTAAGTAAGTAAGAAATGCCTTGGGAAGAAATAAAAATGTAACTTTAGAATATAGCCTTTACCTAAAATTTTGCCTGGCATTTGAGCTTGAACACCTTCAGAAATCACTTGGTTCTCTTTGGACTATGATTTGAGTAGTTTTTGAAAACAAGGCAAGTACTCCTCTTGCCTTCAAACTTTTTTTTATGGGGTGGCCTCCCATCATTTATTTGATTTGGTGATATGACAGGTAATAGTTACTAACATGGTATGAATTTTGTGTTTGCTTGTGCATAAGTTGGGGAAAATAGAAAGTGAAATATCAGTAGCATTCAACATGCTGAAGATGTCAAGTCAGATGTTGCAAAGAAACAATTTAAATAGTTAGGGAATGACTACTTTCAATGAAGAGAGGACAGAATCGACTATAAAGGAAAAAGGAAGAGATTCTGAATAAATTCAGAGCATATGTGAGTCAATTATTTTTTTCTCTCTTAGCATTGCCCTCATAAACATGTGATATTTGTTGAAAATATATTTTTTACTCCTGTGTTAAGAAATCATATTAAGCAGTTGCTAATTTTTAAACAAGCTGTACTGCAAATTCTATAGACTAAGACATTTTTGGATTAAATGAACACTAAGCTTAAGGAGGACCTGATTGTCCACTGGGGATGAGATGACATATTCTAGAAAAATAAGATAAATGTCAACAGATAATAGCACCTACTTTCTTGGAGAACTGCATGTGAGAAAAGGGACATGCTGTTACAACTCTTGAGAGATAGCCTGAAAAACTTTGACAAAAAAGAAAGTAATTCTGAAAATGATATTGTGAGAAGAGTTCTTAGATAGAATTGAGGCTAGTGTCCTCATTTTGCAGAAAGGAAACATATGCGCCAAGAATATAAGGTCATAAATCTAAGTGGCAGTGTTAGGGTATACACTCAAATCACTTTTCCCCCAGCAATTTTTCTTACGG
The DNA here is from genome assembly GCF_000001405.40 of Homo sapiens. Taxonomy (NCBI): domain Eukaryota; kingdom Metazoa; phylum Chordata; class Mammalia; order Primates; family Hominidae; genus Homo; species Homo sapiens. The sequence goes on from NC_000011.10 coordinate 55,636,216, forward strand.
GGACAATAGCTGAAAATGCAGTATTGCTATTCATGTTTGGGAGAACAAAATATATCTTGCTTCCTGCAGAAATATGTGAGCTGTACTTTTGTTGCTTTCTAGAGCTGGCTTATATAAGGATCCTGAACTGATTCAGTTTGTGTTTTTAATAAATACTTTGGCCTAATTTATAGTTCTATATTTCAACTTAGACATTTTCCATTTAAGTATCACTGTCTAAAATGGAGCGATGACTGAAATTCAAGAAGTGTCCTACTTTGCCTGAGAAATTCAGACATGTATGCAAACTTCAGAGTTGGGACAGTCAGGATTAATGTTCAGTTTATCCCGTGTGAGTTTTCTTACTTTCACATGGACATATGGTGAGAGGGTTATAAATTCAGACTTTGGAGTCAGAGAACTCAGATTTTAAGCCTTAGTTTGCTATATACCATTTGTGTTACTATGTACAATTTCCTAAAGCTCTAGAATCCTAATGTAATTTTCATGTGTTTTCCTTGTGATATATTGATATTAGCACAACGATATCATCCCTTGTACACTATTTTATTCTTTTAAATGTCCTTTATCATCTATTATTAAGGTTGAGCTTCAGCATCAATCTCTAAGTACACAGAGGAAGACATATTTCCTTACATTTAAAGTGAAGATAAAGCATTTTAAAACAAGTTATAAAATTTGCAAGATTACATTTGAAGTTAGTGGCTGAATTAAGACAAGTAACGGGGATTGCCTCCAAATTATAAAGCATGATTAGATTTTTACTGGTAAATTAAAAAAAAGCACTAACATTGTAGTAGTTAAACATGGTGGTTCTATGTCTGTAAAAAAGTTGAACCCAGAAGAAAAATTGCCAGGTAGAGAATTTAGTCATCAGCTGTAGCTGACAAAACCAAGACAACAATTATAGGGATTCAAATTACGTTGTTAGTAAACTTACAGTAAATGAAGACAGATTGATGCACTGGTTTTGTCTGAGAACATTCTGTGCCTTACTTTACTTACAGGCTTAATTTTATGTAAGAGTCTTAATATGCTTGTTGGGGTTAAGAAGTGTATTTCAGGTGGGTTTTAAATAACATACATAAATTTGTGAAAATGGAAATGTATAAGAAGCAATTTTAAGAATAATTCAAACTAGTAGTGTATTCAATATTATAATTTTCTTCTTCAAATAAAATGAAATTGCCTTTCTTATTTATTGGCAAAGATTAGTGTGATTATGGAGAAGATCATAACCTTTTTCTCAAAAAAGTGCCTTTAATCTAATTCTAGTTCTTGAAATTCCACTATGAAAATGAATGTCTTCTTGAAATTTCAATTTCTATTACAATGAAATTATTCATTGTATTGGTAACAATGTTAACTTGGTAACATGGAGAGATGAGGAAGAAATTTAAGGGGGTTTAAGAAGTCAAGAATGAAATTAGGGCTGAAAATGTATATTATAAATGGACAGTCATTCTGAGGACATCTGGTAAGAATTAATTAAAATATTTTGATGTAATATTATTTTTAGAAAGCAATGAAACACATTGGATAATTCAGTGTCATCTTTGCAGCAACATTCAAGACTAACAACTTAAGATATGTTTGTTCACCACCTACAACGTTGGTTTTAGTTTATGCAATCAAATCCCATTTGTTGATATCAATATTGCTAATGCTTAGTGCTATGGTTAATTCAATGAATTTTCTACATTATTTAAAAAATAATATTTGTATGACTTGTTTCCTTAATAAATTTTGAATCCCAGAGAGTAAAAGCAGTATCCTTTGCAAGGAATTATTTTGTATTACAATATTGTATATTACATTAGACTTTGGAAATAAACATTCCCTATGATAGAATTTTAATATTGTTGATTGAACAATAGAATTCATACCTACTAGGGCAGGGATTGATCACAGTGTGCTAGAGAGCTAATGGAAATCATCTAGTATATATATACATGGAGAGTCTTATTAGAAAGCCATTTTAATTGAATACCAGATATTTACTCTCTGAACCACTTGAATGAGGTAAATTAAATCTAGCTAGTTCCTCAAATAAAATATGATCATTGTACTTCTTAACAAAGACTTGTAAGCTTATAAATTATGTCATTTCAGGTGACTTATATGTTCTATCTACACTGGACCATGGAAAAAAGCAATAATAGCACTTTGTTTATTCTCTTGGGGTTTTCCCAAAATAAGAACATTGAAGTCCTCTGCTTTGTATTATTTTTGTTTTGCTACATTGCTATTTGGATGGGAAACTTACTCATAATGATTTCTATCACGTGCACCCAGCTCATTCACCAACCCATGTATTTCTTCCTCAATTACCTCTCACTCTCCGACCTTTGCTACACATCCACAGTGACCCCCAAATTAATGGTTGACTTACTGGCAGAAAGAAAGACCATTTCCTATAATAACTGTATGATACAACTCTTTACCACCCATTTTTTTGGAGGCATAGAGATCTTCATTCTCACAGGGATGGCCTATGACCGCTATGTGGCCATTTGCAAGCCCCTGCACTACACCATTATTATGAGCAGGCAAAAGTGTAACACAATCATCATAGTTTGTTGTACTGGGGGATTTATACATTCTGCCAGTCAGTTTCTTCTCACCATCTTTGTACCATTTTGTGGCCCAAATGAGATAGATCACTACTTCTGTGATGTGTATCCTTTGCTGAAATTGGCCTGTTCTAATATACACATGATAGGTCTCTTAGTCATTGCTAATTCAGGCTTAATTGCTTTGGTGACATTTGTTGTCTTGTTGTTGTCTTATGTTTTTATATTGTATACCATCAGAGCATACTCTGCAGAGAGACGCAGCAAAGCTCTTGCCACTTGTAGTTCTCATGTAATTGTTGTGGTCCTGTTTTTTGCACCTGCATTGTTCATTTACATTAGACCGGTCACAACATTCTCAGAAGATAAAGTGTTTGCCCTTTTTTATACCATCATTGCTCCCATGTTCAACCCTCTCATATACACGCTGAGAAACACAGAGATGAAGAACGCCATGAGGAAAGTGTGGTGTTGTCAAATACTCCTGAAAAGAAATCAACTTTTCTGAATTGTTTCTGCTTTTCATGCCGTGGTTCCCTGATGAATGAGAAAAATTCACTCTCATCTTGCTCTTGTCCTTAATGTTTGGAGAGAAAAGTGGGCAAACAGGAAGCATATCCCTTCTGTGGTTTTATACTTCTACATTGACATCTCTTTAACAAATTGAACATTATTCTTATCCATACTCTCCTCCGCCTTTCTTAATCATTACGATTGTGCTTATGTGACATGAAATAACCAGAAAATTTCTTAAAAATAAAGGATTACATGGCGTTGTGTTGAAAAAATAAAACAGATTATGTGTTTTTTGTGCCTTAAAGTTCTGAGAAGATCAATGAAATATTACTCTCAGCTTTTACATTTTTACTCAAGTCTAAACACAGAAAATGCATGTATTGCCTGTGTACAGCTCACGAATTTTTGCAAACTGAGCATGATTGTGAAATCAGCAACTGAATTAAGAGACAGAAATTATCAGCACATCAGAGGTCCTCCTTATTCCTCTTTATGATTAATACCTCCCAAAGTTAACCACAATATTTATTCCTAAAATAAATAGTTTTCGGCTGGGCACGGTGCCTCATGCCTGTAATACCAGCACTCTGGGAGGCTGAGGTGGGTGGATCATGAGGTCAGGAATTCGAGACCAGCCTGGCCAAGATGGTGAAACCCCGTCACTACTAAAAATACAAAAATTAGCTGGGCGCAGGGGCGAGCACCTGTAATCCCAGCTACTCGAGAGGCTGAGGCAGGAGAATCGCTTGAACTCGGGAAGCGGAGGTTGCAGTGAGCCGAGATCATGCCACGGCACTCTAGCCTGGGTGACAGAACAAGATTCCGTCTGAAATAATAATAATAATAATGATAATAATAATAATAATAATAATGTTTTTATCTTTTCTTGTACTTTGAAGAGTAAGAGTGATTTACATTTTGTTGCTGCGTGTGTGTCTTCTTAGTGTTTCATTTGTGAGTCATTTCTCATGTTGGTAAGTTTTCTGACTGTTTTCATTGATGTATACGGTATCTTATCATATGAATATATAATGATTGATTTATCCATTCCCTTGTTGCCAGACATTTGCGTGGTTTCCCATTTCGGGTTACTATGTATAGTGCGGCTTTGAACATTTTGACACATGTCTTTTTTGGTGAATGTATGTCTTTTATTATTTCATTATACTTTATAATGTAATTAAAACAATTTTAAGAAAATAGTAAGTACTATATTTGTATTAATATTCTTTCATAATGTATTACTGATATAAAATGAAAGATATTTATTGAAAAAATAATTATCCATAGAAAAACACTAAGTGAAATAAAACATTTAGAAATAAATAAGTGAAACATCTTGCACTTCTAGGATCCACACAATGGGGTATGGGATAAGCTGATTAATGCAAAATTGTCTGTCAATCATAGGAAAAAAGGAAGAAAGCTCTTAGAATGGTAATTTACACAATGAAGCTTAGAAAAACTTCCAGGAATGCAGCATTAGATTATGATAGCAAGATTAAGACACAGGAATCACCACTGAAAAATGTTGTCAAATAGAATATTCATTGTAGCATATGAAGTCACTTGCCATATTAAATGAAACTAGGAAAATTCTGTGTTTAGCTTCTAAGAAGGAATAAAAAATATACTTCACTGTACTCCCAATAAGGGCAGTGATGCCAAATGAAGAAGGCATGCTATGAGTTTATACTAATACTGGATTGTCACGTGCACACTCAAACACACACATGTGTGTGCAGGCACATAATGCAGAAAATAAAGTCTTTTCAGGAATTTATACTTAAGGCATAGTTGAAATAAATCTGCTCATATAGAAAACCAAAAATTAAAAGAAGAAAAAATTTGCTCAAAAGCAAATGATCACACAATAAAAATGACGGAATATAGGTAGACATTAGGTTGGAAACAGCTACATCAGAGCACAGCATACAAAGACTGGGTTTATTGTAATTAATGGACACAAAATATAATATAAATCTTTATTGTATAAAATAGAAAATGATTTTAAAGTCAAATTACAACATTGGTTTAAAATTTTTCTAGGCTGTTAGAAAACAAACAAAATAACTTCAAGAAATAAATAAAATGTTATTTTTATTAGAAACTCAGTGGATAAAACATAGTAGTGTATCCTAATTAATCAGTGAATTCCAAATAGCAACAAAATTACTCAGAACAAAGAAGAGAGAGACAAAGATATGGAAAAAGTTAAAGGGATATTAAGAGACCTTAGAAATGGAATAAATGGGGGCAACATATATCTACCAAACTTCAGGATTTATAAAATAGTGAGAAAATAAAATTAAAGAGATAATAATTGACAATTTCTAGAACTATGAGAAATATTTAGAAAAAAATTACAACAAAGTGAAAGAGTTGCTCTCAAAAAGAGCCCTACAAAATATTATTTCTAATTAATAATAATTTAAAACACAGGGTAGGATGCAGCGACTCACACCTGTAATCCCAGCACTTTGGGAGGCCGAGGCGAACAGATCACCTGCGATCAGGAATTTGAGACCAACCTGACCAACATGGAGAAACCCTGTCTCTACTAAAAATGCAAAATTCGCTCGTGTGGTGGCACATGCCTGTAATCCTAGCTACTCAGCAAGCTGAGGCAGGAGAATCGCTTGAACCTGGGAGGTAGAGTTTGCAGTGAGCAGAGATCATGCCATTGCACTCCAGTCTGGGCAACAAGAGCGAAACTCCGTCTAAAAAATAAATAAATAAATAAATAAAAATTAAAACACAGACTAGAAGCCAGAAGAAAATAAAATTACATTTTAAAAGTGCCAAATGTAAAATATTATCCTTGAAGTCTATATTTTTTCAAGAAAAGTGAAGTGGGGAGTCTTCAGTAGAATAAAACAAAAGAAACCGCAATTTAAAAATGGCCAAGAGTTCACTATACAGACACACTCACTTAAAGTAGTTGTAAATATTAATTTTTATTAAGAGGAAAGATGTTCCAAGAAGGAAAATTAAAAATCCAGGAAGGAATAATGAATCAGGAAAATACTAACCTTATTTGTAAACTGAGATATTGTGTTAAAAATATTAATCATGTCTAATATATAAGATGAAAAATAGAGGAGAGAACAAAAAACTTAGACCACAACATAGTGGAAGTTGAAAAGAAGTATTGTTTGGTAGGAAAGAAAAGACACTGATTAAATTCAGACTTGGTAATATTAATGTACAGATATGATTTTTTCAGTAATTACTAAAATAGCAGGAGTGGGAGAGAAAAAGAGACAAAGAAATGTATTATTATTATTTTTTGAGACAGAGTCTCGCTCTATCACCAGGCTGGAGTGCAGTGGCACGATCTTGGCACGCTGCAACCTCCGCCTCCAGGGTTCAAGCGATTCTCCTGCCTCAGCCTCCTGAGTAGCTGGGACTACAGGTGCATACCACCACGCCCAGCTAATTTTTGTATTTTTAGTAGAGACAGGGTTTCACCATATTGGCCAAGTTGGTTTTGAACTCCTGGCCTTGTGATCTGCCTGCCTCGGCCTCCCAAAATCCTGGGATTACAGGCGTGACCCACTGCACCCAGCCAGGAATGTATTTTTAAAAAGGAACAATACCATTCCAAATAAAAGGCAAGAAAATGGGAAGGAAACAGAAAAATTGGGCAAAAGCAAAAATAAAAGCAAAAAAAGATCATAGAAGCCAATTAAAATATATAAGTAAAACAAAATTAACACAATGTAGTAAATTCTTCAGCAGGATAATGAAAATTATCATAATGGTTTAAAATACAGTTTGTCAAATGTGCTTTCACAAAAGATGTACCTAAACGGTCGATTACACATACACATGAAAGTGAAACTGAAGGCATGAAAAGGATAAAGCAGGCAAATATGTTAGCATTTGAAGCAATATTGATTATTGTGTCTTAAATAATTAAATATTAATTGAATTTGCAAGATAGAAATATTTACAAACTCTAACTTTGCATAGATGGAGAAGGATAGAGAGAATTTGATCCAAAACCATAAGCAGCATTAATAGACATATATAGAACAGTATAGTCAACAACTAAATTGAAGGGATTTATCATATTTTGTAGTTAATTCTTCCACAGAATAATTAATTATAATTAACCTGTCACAAATTAACTCTTCATCAGCATTGAATAATCCACATCACAATCTAGATCTGGGTTTTAAACTCTTTACGAAAATTATCTTAAAATAGATCATAGGCCTAAACGTAAAATATAAAACTATAAAATTCTTACAAGGTAACGTTACAGATAATCTAGATGACCATGAGTTTGGTGATGACTTTTTAGATATAACCTCAGAAGTATCATCCTTGAAAGAAAGAGTTGATGATCTAGATTTCGTAAAATAAACATTTCTTTGCTGTGACAGGTAATATCAAAAGAATGAAAAGACAAGCCACAAACTTGCAGAAAAACTGGCAAAAAATATCTGATAAAAGACTGTTATCCAAAATATACAAAGAAATCTTAAAACAAACAATAAGAAAACAAACAATGTGGAATCAACCTAAATGCCCATCAATGATAGATTGGATAAAGAAAATGTGATTATATATATATATGTATACATATATATATATGATTTTACATATATACATATATATATACATGTGATTTTATATATATGTATACATATATATATACCCTGAAATACTATGCAGCCATATAAAAGAATGAGATTATGTCTTTGTCTTTTGCGGGAACATGGATGGAGCTGGATGCCATTATCCTTAGCAAACTAATATTGCATGTTCTCACTTATAACTGGGAGCTATATGATGAGATCACATGGACACATAGAGGGAAACAACACATACTGAGGCCTTTTGGAGAGTAGAGTGTGGGAGGTGGGAGAGGAGCAGAAAACATAACTGTTGGGTACTAGGCTTAGTACATGGATGACAAAATAATCTGTGGAGCAAATCTCCATGACAAGAGTATACCTATATAAAAATAATAAAGAGAAAAATAGGAAGAAAAGAACCAGACTAAAGAAATAGGCTGAAGTCCTTAACAGACATCTCACCAAAGAGGATATACAGATGACATGGAAGCCTATGGAAAGATACGACATATCGCAGGTGACCAGAAGAATATGAATTAAAGCAACAATGATATACCACTGCATATCTATTAAAATGACCAAATCCATAATACTGGCAATGCCAAATGCTGGTGAGTGTGTAGAGCAAAGGGAACACTCATTCATTGTTGTTCGAATGAAAAATGGCACAGCCACCATAGACGAGAGTTTAGCAGTTTCTCAAGTACTAAACATACTTTTACCATAAGATACAGCAATTATACCACTTGGTATTTACCCAAAGGAGTGAAAAACTTATGTCCATGCAAAACCCTGGCATTCAGGTGTTTATGTTAGGTTTCTCTGCATCACCAAACTTGGAAGCAACCAAGATGTCTTTCAGTAGGTCTATGCATAAATAAACTGTGGTATATTCAGACAATTAAATATCGTTCAGCACTAAAAAGAAAGAAGCTATTAACCCATGAAAAGACATGGAGGAGACTTAAATGCATATTATTAAGTGAAATAAGCCAATCTGAAAATACTAATAATGTATGACTACAATTATATGGCATTTTGGAAAAGGTAAAGTTATCGAGATAGTAAAACTGTGTTTGGGGTGTGGGAAGGATAAATAGGTGGGGTGCAGGCAATTTTAGGGAAATGAAACTATTCTGTATGATATAAGAGTGCAGAAATGTCTTTATACATAGTCCAAAACCCACAGAATATACAATACCAAGAATGAATCCAACAGAATCTCATTATAAAACCCTGTTGTGTAACAAGAATAAACCCTATGGACTTTCAGTGATAATGATGTATCCATGTAGATTCACCAGTTGTAAAGAATGAAATGCTCTGGTTGGACAATGTTAATAATAAAGGAAGTTATGCATGAGTAGGGCCAGAGGCTATATCGGAAATATTTATGCCTTCTGTTCAATTTTGCTGTGTGAGAAACTAGAAGTGCCCTAAAGATAGTCTATTTTTAGAAAAAGACAGAAAAGAGGATAGAATTTTATAGTACACAAAAACATTTCTTGATTAGGTCAAAGTTAATAAAGAAAATTGAGAAGAAAGTTATAGAGGAGACAAAGTAAACTGCAGCAATAGAAACTTAAATTCAAAAATCTCAATAACGTTACATATAATTATACTGCATTTAAAAGACAAAAGTTGTTAGAGTAAACGTTATAGGATGTTTTTCAGCAAACACTCTTCTGCAAAGGAAAATAATGAACTAATGATACACAAAACAACATGATAAATCTCAAAACAGTCTAGACACAAATGAATAAATGCTTCAATCAGTCATAATAAGTTTACAATTGGAAAACTAAAATTGAATCATAAAAACCAGAAAAGTAGTTGTATCTGGGGGAATGAACTGAAAAGGTGCATGACAAAACTTCTGAGTTGTTGAGTTTTCTACATCTTGAATTTGTTAGTGGTTACATGAATATATACATGTGTCAAAAATCATCAAAGCATATACTTCAAAACATTGCACTTCCTTGTATGTAAATTTAATCTAGAGAAAACAATGTATTACAAAAAAGTGTTCATATCTATTGGTCTCAAGAAAAATATGGCTTTCAAATCCCACTTATAAGTGAGAACATGCCTTATTTGGTTTTCTGTTCCTGTGTTAGTTTGCTAAGGATGATGGCCTTCAGCTCCATCCATGCCCCGTCAAAGAACATGATCTCATTCTTTTTTATGGCTGCAGAGTATTCCATTGTGTATATGTATCACATTTTGTTTATCCAGTCTATCATTGATGGATATTTAGGTTGATTCCATGTCTTTGTTATTGTGAACAGTGTTTCAATGAACATATGTGTGCATGTGTCTTTATAATAGAATGATTTATATTCCTCTGGGTAGATACCCAGTAATGGGATTGTTGGATGGAATGGGATTTCTGCCTTTAGATCTCTGAGGACTCACCACATTGTCCTCCACAACGGATGAACTAATTTACACTCCCATCAATGGGATTATCTTTAAGAATGCTACGGCAAGTGAAAGAAGCAAGTTACAAAAAACTACATATTGTATTATTATTTTTATGTAAAAAAAAGTCCAGAGATGCCAATCTGTAGTAATAGAAAGTAGATTAGTGTTTGCCTAGAGCTGGGGGTGATGGTGTGAGAGAGGAATGAGGAGTGATTGCTAATGAGAATGGGGTTTCTTTTTGAGGGGACAAAGATGTTGTAAACTTAGATTGTGTTGATGGTTGCCCAACCCTGCTTATGAAACATCAATTAATTAAACTGTACACTTTAAATTGATGAACTACATAGTATATGAATCATATCGCAATAAAGCTATTATAATAAATGAATGTTAAATCTATTGACCGTTGCTGTGTATGTACTATTCTTATATCTTTTATTAATTTACTATCATTTTCCTATCACATGACATGTAGCTGTCTTTTTTAATCCAAGTGATAATTCTCATCAGATATCCTTCCTTTGCACACATTTCTGTTATAAAATATGAACATTAATATTCCATTATTTATATATTATATTTAGCATTTGTTCCAAAACATATTTTTAAACATCTCCTAGATCTCAAAGTACATTTTGCAAAGTAGGAATAGAAGATATACTGACTCGCCCCACTACTCATCTAAATAACTGAGCAGCAGAATAGGGATCTCCAAAGATGTTCACATCTTAGTCCTCAGAACTTATCAATATATTTTGTTACATGATAAGGTGATTAAGATTGTAGATAAAAATTAAGTTTGCTAGTCAGTTGACCTTAAAACAAAGATGTTATCGTGCACTATCCATGTGGGCTCAACGTATTCACAAGGTTTATTTAAAATGGGAAAGTGAAGCAGAATAAGTTAAATTTGAAGATGCTACACTGCCTGCTTTGGAGATGAAGGAAAGGGGCCATAAGGAAGCTGGTAGATTCTAGAAGCTGGAACAGAATGAGTTTTCCCCTACAGACTTCGGAAGGATTCATCCTTTCCAATGCCTTGATTTTAGCCCAGTGAGCCTCATTTTGGACTTCTCACCTGCAGAACTGTGAAATACTGACTTTGTATTGATTTAAGCCACTAAGTTTGTGGTAATTCATTGCAGCAGCAACAGGAAACTAACACACTAGCTTAATCATGATGAATGTTTCCACAAACCTGGGCATAATTGCTCTTTTACTTCCTACTCTTTATTTTTCACTCATTTCTTCTGCTAACTCCAGATAGTGAAAATATAAGTAGGATCTCTTGGACATTTTGGATGTTGTTTGAAATAAAGAAAAAGGTAAGATAAGGTAAGAAGAGTAAAGTAAAAAAGTCAAGCATGGGGAAAGAAACTAATAGAAATAGGAAGAGAAAAAGCAAGATTATTATTAGTTTTCGTGAGTCAACCTTAAGAATTTACAATATAAAAGTAAATGAATTAAATTCAACACCATACTTATTCCAAGCATAGGCCAAACATGAACCTTATCCCAGCTATTTCTCCATAAATCAGCATAGAATCAATTAAGAAGAAAAGCAATGTTCCCAAATAGCACAATCGAATATACTATTTTCTATTACAATATAGCTTTCAAGAAAGAACAATTACAATTCAATAAATAACATAAAACAGATATCTTAATATGTTATATCAAATATGGACTATTTAATGCATATAGTAAAGCATATTAATTCAAAAACAAGGTTTAGAATGATAAAATTATTACTTCTCTTGGCTGAATTGCTTTGGATTAGGGCTATAGTCGTTAATATGAGAATTGATCGGTTTTTGTATTTAGCAACAATTTTTAAAATTTAATTTTAAAAAATTGAACAGACACTAGAATTAAAGTTCATTGGTAGGGCTGCAATTTGATTTTGACTATGGAGGAAGACTTTGGGGAAAAGCTGTCTCCAAGGTCATTTATCATTTTGCATCTTCCTCTTTAAATAGACCTGTAAGAATAGAGAAAACAGCATTTATTGTCAAAGACCCTGTGAAATGGCAGGTATCATTAGGTGAGAAAACCAGGAACAACAAAGACTCATTTCTACCAGCCTTTCAGTTTGGGGGGTCAGGTATTTTCCGGTACTAATTATTCACAAAGGAATTCCCTAGGCATCACTGTTACTTTACCTTGGGAAGCTGCACCCAAATTAACTCAAGAAGAGATAGAAACATAAAGTGAACTCAAGCTCTGGAAAATACTGGTGAGATTTTTTTTTCTTTTCAAACGAATACAGAATATTTGTGGAAAAAGATAATTAAATTGTTAGATTTTGAACATTTATAAAATAATGGAAAAATATTGTTCTCTGAAATACAGAGAGAATGAAATTATTAAAATCATGATAGTAAGATAGTAACATGTACCTAAACATGACTGTGAGGAAGGGTAGGATGGACACAAATAAGAAAATGTCAATAATTTCAAAGGAAAGTGAGTCATTATGCCCAACATGCCCAGATAAAGGAGGAAGGCATCCTTGTGATGGATATTGGCTTAAGGAGAGAAACAGCAAGATGTTACTGCATCAGTTGGAGTCAAGAGAGGCCATGATTCAGAAGGTTAACAGCCTTTACTAGGATGCACATTCTGATAAATGGAACTTTAGATCTCAATCCTGCAATTAAGATAAATGAATACCTGAATAAAATAGATTGGTGAATGAAAAAAAAAATTCCTCTAGAACCTTGTGATATGGACGGTAGGGGAAAAAATCCTCAGGCTTGTGTGCAAAAGCCCAGTTTCTTCTAGATGAGAGCAAAGCAACATAAATAATTGTTGCTCAAAACTGCTATGTTGTGAGCTTCCTTAAGTTGAGGGGCTCTCTTAGTGGAGGATGGTATTTTTCTTTTAATTCAGCAGGATAACTGAAGAGGAATGAGCATGTAAAAGCAGGGGATGTGCTTGAGACTGTATCTAAATCATATTACTATTACTCTTACAATCATTATTTTGTAATGCACAAGAGATAGCACACCTGTAATGACTACTGTGCCAACTCTAACATGAATACCTGAAGAAACACAATCCTATAGATTCCCAAAAGCTGGAAGTATTAGGCACGACTTCACTGCATAAGGATAGCTGAGAGCACAGAGTTTAGTAGGAGTTGTCAGCATTCAGCTGGATGGATCTTGAGAGGATCTACAGGTCTCTGCTAGACCACCTGTAATTGGAGGGATCATTTACACCTGCGGTTGATTAGCGAAAGAATCCTAAAAGCTCCTTTAATCAAAACTATTACAGATACCCTTTTCCATCCATGTACCAATGACCCCATTGTAGTGCCTGAAATTTCACCAATGAATATTCATCCATTTAGATAAATGTCATTTTCCTAAACCCATTAAAATTGTCATTCAGTGATGATCTCTTCCAGAAATATAAATCGACCAAATTGGGAGAATGAATATGGCCAGAATAAAACTTGAAAGATTAGAAAGATGTATGAAGCAATGTTGACATTAAGGGACAGTCTTCTCTTTTTTACACCCATTTTCTTCGTTTCAGTTAATAGAAAAATGTTTAAAAATACAAAGCAAAGTCAGTCCTGGAAAATCCTAAAGTATTCTGAGTTTGCACATGGAGAAATTACATAAGACTTCACTCCCTCTCCTTTCAAATCAAACAGGTCTTGCTTTGTCTCTAGAAGTTTCTTTTATTGCTTTACCTTATTTCTGCCTTCCTATCAGGGTTTTATGAATATTTCATACTGACAGAAGTGATTTAAGTTCACGGCTGAAATAACTATTAATGTGATATGTAACAGTGAAATTGAAACTGTCATTTCACAAATGGGATAAGAGAATTTCTGTTAAGTTAAATAATTTACCTTGGGGGTTACAGTAGTATCATTTTAGAATCAATTTTGTGTAATTTTGCTCCTCTTTCTATTACCTCACACTACATCTTGACTATCAGGGCTCGAGACCACACTGGTGGAGGTGCATACATCATGTGCACAAAGATAGAGTTTCATGAGAAGAACTTGCAAAGGCAAGAGTGGTTAAACTTGCAGAGAAATTGCAGAATATTTGTGAGTTGATGTGATAATCAGGCATGGCAGTATTCAAAAGGTGAAATGTGGGCGTATGTTTTCACTTATGGGTCAAAAATAAAGCAATCATTTCCAGATATTTGCCAGTAGATAACATAGATGTTACCATATCCCAAAATACAGAAGTTGTTTCAAAACTCAGTGTCGTATAAAAAATAAAAACTAAATAAAGTTTAGAAACAGCTAAATAAACATTAATAAAAGGTGAGAGAAGAGAGGCATGTGGTAACATATATATGAGATTGAGGGGATTTACTTTATCTCTCTGGATTTTGCTTTCTCACCTGAAGTGAACGAATGTGATCTTATCTTGAGGTAAGATGATCAAAATAGATGCATTTCAATTTCTTCAAGTATGCATGCCAATCAGCATTTTTTCCTCTTTTGATCTACTGTGATTTTCCGTTGGTTCTGCGTTAGAAATAAAATAAATACAGTCCTTTTTATGTTTTCTTTTTTTCAGGTAATTTAATTGTCTCCTAAGAACTTGACCCATTCCATGGAAAAAATAAACAACGTAACTGAATTCATTTTCTGGGGTCTTTCTCAGAGCCCAGAGATTGAGAAAGTTTGTTTTGTGGTGTTTTCTTTCTTCTACATAATCATTCTTCTGGGAAATCTCCTCATCATGCTGACAGTTTGCCTGAGCAACCTGTTTAAGTCACCCATGTATTTCTTTCTCAGCTTCTTGTCTTTTGTGGACATTTGTTACTCTTCAGTCACAGCTCCCAAGATGATTGTTGACCTGTTAGCAAAGGACAAAACCATCTCCTATGTGGGGTGCATGTTGCAACTGTTTGGAGTACATTTCTTTGGTTGCACTGAGATCTTCATCCTTACTGTAATGGCCTATGATCGTTATGTGGCTATCTGTAAACCCCTACATTATATGACCATCATGAACCGGGAGACATGCAATAAAATGTTATTAGGGACGTGGGTAGGTGGGTTCTTACACTCCATTATCCAAGTGGCTCTGGTAGTCCAACTACCCTTTTGTGGACCCAATGAGATAGATCACTACTTTTGTGATGTTCACCCTGTGTTGAAACTTGCCTGCACAGAAACATACATTGTTGGTGTTGTTGTGACAGCCAACAGTGGTACCATTGCTCTGGGGAGTTTTGTTATCTTGCTAATCTCCTACAGCATCATCCTAGTTTCCCTGAGAAAGCAGTCAGCAGAAGGCAGGCGCAAAGCCCTCTCCACCTGTGGCTCCCACATTGCCATGGTCGTTATCTTTTTCGGCCCCTGTACTTTTATGTACATGCGCCCTGATACGACCTTTTCAGAGGATAAGATGGTGGCTGTATTTTACACCATTATCACTCCCATGTTAAATCCTCTGATTTATACACTGAGAAATGCAGAAGTAAAGAATGCAATGAAGAAACTGTGGGGCAGAAATGTTTTCTTGGAGGCTAAAGGGAAATAGTTGGACTTAATAATTTAAGCTAGATGACCTTAAAATTTCTCAGCCTTGGTTAACTCATCTGTGCAATCAAGACAATAACAACCTCATGGGATTTGGAGTGGAAAAATGAGACAATAACACATTCAAAAGAGTAAGGTATTATTTTTCATTATTATAGCATTTTTATACTATTTCATAATTAGATAACTTCCTGAAATATCTATGACACAGAAATATTATTAAACTTAGAATCACAAAAGTGCAGAAGAGCAATTCCTCTTGGCTTTCCTTTGAGGACAGATTTCTATTACCCTACCTTGCTATTCACTGGTTTTATCATCATCCCTGAAAGCAGAAACTCACCATATGTATAAAGTGGAGGAAATAAATTTTAAAAAATTTAGAATTTCCAAAAGTGTGGGAAGTGTTTTCATATTTTTGGGCTTAAATTGTGAGGTTTCGGGCAGTACAGTATCACTCATATATTTCCTTCTAAATAAACAATCCTCTACCCTGCTGCCTAGGCTATGTATAGAGTAGTGGGGAATTGATAAGGTTGTAATGTGTGCTGACTGCTGACATCTGGGGAGCAGCAAGAGGAAAGGGCCTCATAGTTCACACTGTAGATTTCACTTATCCTTGTGCATGCGTGTTTCATCACTGTCCTCCACATTAATACTGGGAATTATTTAGCTCAGTCTTTCAAAAGAATAAACCTCCAATCTTTTGTGAAGTAATATAGAGGAATTCTTACCTGTCTGTGTAGAAAATGGCCTGTGGAAATAAAATAATTTTCATGTAATACAATGTATGTTTCACTCCTACATTCTGTAGAATCGTATGCTACAAGCATTTAGCATCTCAGGAGTTTTGCAAGTGAACTAACTTGCTAGTTTTCTCTGTCCTTGCTCAGATGGCTATAACTTCCCCCACAATGCTAAGTTAACTACTTAGTAACACTGTTCTCTATTTCTCAAAAAATGTGTGAAAATCTTTCACCAGCTGGTATTTCCTGTTTGCTTTTTTGTCATTGTGGATTAACATATAATTTCTATTTTGCTCTTATTTTAGCAACAATTCAGATGGCAGAGGAAATACATTTTTGTGGATACTTTACTATGTTTCACAGAGATTCTATTTTTTAAAGTATGCATTTATTAGCTTTTGTCATAATACAATGACAAAAGAAGAGAAGAAAAGAATAAAATCAAAAGTTACATAATATTACCATACAGATGTCTTATTTACATGAAAATATAAAGGAACACATGCATATTGAACTGTCTGAAAACTCAAACAGTTCAATAACGTAAAAAATGAAAGAAAAACATAATAATCACTTTCCTATCTTTTCTTACAAACACACCATTGTTCTCAGTTTCTTATGATTCCTTCCATTAAAAATAATCCTATACCTATATTCACTTATAATTTCTATTTTATTTTATGTTTGTAGTCACATAAAGGAATAGTATAAACATTGACACATAACTTTTTCCTTTAGAGAATAATATACTCTGACCGTCGCTTCACGACAGCACTTACAAATGAAACCCCAGGGTCTAGTCAGATTGGACGTAGATGCTCTCACCATAGCAGTTACACTAGAGACCATGCCAGAAAACAGTCCTCTCCCAGGGAAGGTCAAAGCAGCCAGCAGTGTGAGAGGGTGAGATGAACGAGGTAACATCCGGGGTTCGCAATTGATTGAGCATGTGGCCAGAGACTGGGAGGTAGTAATTGAGAATGTCCTTAGGATTGCGACCAGTCCTGTTTTCCAAACTAGACCTAAAGAAAAACACAACTGAGAAAACTTCCTTAGTGTTGCAACAATTCCCAGAACCATAGCTGATAGAGAACATCTTCCTCTTCCAGCACCCATTTTCTCACCCTTGATTTCTTTCACCCTTGGCCAGAACTTCAGTTGGTTTGGGATGTCTGCCTTGTGGGGTGACTGAAAGCTTTATCTATAAGAGTTTGATCCCTAGTTGCCTTGTTCTTATTTACTGTAGTTGCTGCAATTGTCCAGTTACAGTTATCCCTGGTGTGCAAGTGCTAAGAGAGATTCCACTACATTCTCTGCATTCTGGATATAATCATCTCTGTCCTAATCCATTATAACAACACTAGCTACTCATAAAAACCAGAATCAAGTACCCTAGTAAAAATAGTAACTATTTTTTTTTTTGCATGCCGGTCCATTTGTGTAAGGAGCACAAAATAGTGTTCCTGCTGTGTTCCTGGAAAATATCTTCTTCTCTCTAGAAACCGGGACTTCTGTCCTCATGAATCTGAAGACTAAGAAAGTGAGTTTCTGGGAGTGTAAAAAATAGAAAACACTCACTTTCACCCTTTGGATCTCAGAATGATGTATGGCAGGCAAATGGGGACTCCACACCGCATATCAGGCATCGGTTCAGCATTCAATGCATACTCTGAATCCTGAAGACAGCATCCTGTCTCCTCCAGCGCTGACTTCTAGCTAGTCCCTTGATTGAGCTCTTAACAATCCTTTCCCCTCTTCTATGAAGCTAGAAGCTTACGGGTGATGGGCTATATGGTAAGATCAGTGAATTCTGAGATCATGAGAAAATTTTATATCTCCTTTGCCCTAAAAGGTCCTAGGCAATCTTTAAGGGATATTATATCAATGTATCAATCTGTCTGCAAGTTGTCAAATGTTGGTGTAGATGAAGGCACTATGGAGATGGGAGGCAAATCTATGTCTACAGTGTCTATTGTTTCTGATTAGGAGCAATTGCTTTCACTTTCAGGGTGGAAGAAGTTTTGTATAATTAACCCGCTATCAGTCACATAAATATTTTCCCAGAGATAGGCATCACATTGAGTGCTCAGGCATGGATTCTGCTACTGGCATGTTGGACACTCAGAGGGGGCAGACGGCAGATCAGCATTTATGGTAGGGAGCTCGTGTCTCTGAGCCCAAGCATAAAACATCCTTGCCAGTATAGACACTCTGTCCATGTGCTTATTGTGCCATCACTGGAATATCCTTAGGCTGGATCATGTCAGAGCACAGTCCATCCTCATCGTGTAGATAGTTAAAGCCTGTTCTCTTGTACATGCTTTCAAGTTAGTTCCAACTTCAATAGGTCTATTCACATAACTCTTTTCCAGATCGCTTGGTCCAGTCTTCTGACCTTCCAGACACTTGATCAACAAACTAGGCATTTATCACTGCTTCAAGTCAATGTATATTTATTACCCAGGACTCTTCCCCTTCTATACAAAGTTGAAAGCAAGAATATTATTCAGGGTTTTGTCCACTAGCAGAAATTCTCTAGGCTACATACCTTTGAGGCCACCATTTAGGGCTGGGATGTCATTTTAGGTTAATATCAATGTATTGTGGTGACTTGTTTGTGAACCTGAACAGAATCCTTTCCTCCTCTGTCAGATCATCTCAGAGCATTCCCTGTGAGGCCATATGTGTGACTTGAGGAAGAGGCATTGATTTAACAGAGATGAGTCATATGAGAGTCAGAACTATCCATTTGTTCCTGAACCACTCTTTTCTTCTGATCTGCTCAGGCCAAGCTTTTACCAGTTCAGGCTTGTATTTGTTGAATTCAAATTGTTTTATTCCAAGTATTATATTTTATTCTATTTATTTCATATATTAACATAAAACCTTGAAAAAATTTGATTATTCATTTTTTCCCATTCCTTTCTCTAAATTAGTGTCAAGATTATCTTTTTGAAAGCAGCCTTCCCATAGAATATAGGAAAAAAAATTTTTCCTGCTTGTCAGAGGGAATATTTCAAGACATGATAAAAGGTATTAGCATCCTAGACAATATTATTCCCTAAAGTTTCCCTTATTTTGCATATTGAAAACAATTCCAATGTTGTAATAAATTTAACTTTTGGTTTGTCTATTTAGCCTACAAGAACAGTAAGTTAATCTTCCTCATACTCAGTAATTAGATACAAATGAGGATGTGGAGGTGCCTCAAGGACACCAAAGATATGAGGGAGAAAGAGGAAAAAAACAAACGGATGGTGGAGAGGGTGATAGAAAACAGAAAGGCATTGGTTAAAGAAGCTGTGGATCACCAAGAAATACTTCTACTCCCACCAGTGATTTAAAGTTGCCCCTCCCTGCATTGGGGAACAAATTTTTCTAGCTTCTGTAATACACTTATAATTTATTTGCAAGTAGTATGCAGGAAAGGAAGTGTGATGTCTCAAAACAAGAGGTTCTAGTCTGTGGGATATAGACATCTCCCTCCGAGAACCCTCATATTTATAGCAAGTGGCCTGAGAATTAATATGTACACCAGGAACTTAATCTCACTTTTTTCAACTTCATTTCTATTTGTTTTATTAACTCAAGTTAGTAAAATAACACTTAACAAAACACATTTTTATTAATATAATTTTATTCTACCAAATATGTATTGAATGCTTTTTATATACTAGGCTCTGTTTATCATTTTATAAAAGTTTGATCTTTTAATCCACATAAATATTCCATGAAGTAGGTAATAAAACTGAAAGAAAACTGAAACTCACAGAACTTAAGAAGCTTGCCCAGGTTGCACACTTATCTACCCTAAGAAAATGTTGAAAATGACAATTAATGGCCGGCATTAAATAATCAATTGCTATATAAGTAAATTAATAAATAAGACAAATGAAAACACAATGGAAGAGAGCTTGGGTAATAGTTTATAACTAACTTTTCTGTAAAATTACCTATGCGATGGTTAAGGATATAAATAAAATATTCTTTCTGAACTACACTAAAACTAATTATTTAGAAGAATAGCAATGTAAGTGAGGTCGGGTCTTGAGATACATCAAATGCTCCAGTAGAAATCTCTTTCACTGATACGACTTAGCACTTACAATCAACACGTCAAATGAGATGTTGAAAATGTCAGGATGCGCCTATTATACAGTGCAATATTTTTCATAATATGGTATGGAATGTAGTCTCAATAAGGAGAAAACGTGCAATCTTTGGTGGTCATTTGCTGTTTTTATGTACAATATCTAAATACTTTTGCAGATGCATCCTGCCTGCCTCGTAAGAACACTAACGTCAAGTTGTGGAAACTCTCTTGGTGGGCTCTGAACTCTGATTTTCCTCTAAGTAGCCGTAACTTTGACATTTTCAGTATATCTGTGTAATGTTTGGTTTGGGTTAATTTCTTCCCAAGGGTGTTAATATGACTCTCGCTAGCTTGATTATAAAACAAGTCTCCTAGGAGTTAATCTTTGGATTGAAGCATTATTAGCAAACAAATGCAAAGTCAACACATTTTTCTGGACTATTGAGAGAAGGCATTTTCTTTTTCCTAATAGAGTTGCTGAGAGTACAGATACAGGACTCCTGCTTATAATCTTACCAAGAGTGAAAAAAGTCAACACAGAAGGAAGCAGAGCCAACAGATAATTAGAAGGAACCAGTTCTTATAATAAAATTTTAACAACAGAATGTACCTATTTTCAAACAATTTTATCATATTTGTTTTCTGTTATTGCTTTTTACATTTATTTAACTACTATAACAAATACATGTAAATTTACTATCCATACCAAAACTTAAACTGTTACCAAAAATTAAATCCATTTTTAACCTCTTTTCTATGCTGTCCCCTGTCTTACCTGAAAGGTAGCCAATATCCTGATTTTGTTAATGCATAATTCTCTTATTGCTTAAAAATAAAATATATTTGCCTAAGATGGATATGTTTTTTAAAGATTTATCTGGTTTTGAATTTTAAAGAATTTAACATACTATATGTAGAGTTTTAGGCATAGATTTTACTTTTTATTCAGCATTAAGTTATTAAGTTTTGTATTGGTTATTAAGCATAACATTAGACAGTTAACAAAAATGACCCTGAAATGGAAGCCTGTGCACAATTTGTAAGGATTAGGCTCTGAAAATTGGAATGATCATTCTAGTTCTTGATAACCTTACAAGTTGCTGGACATAAAGGAGTCAATGTGAATAGAATCACTTTTTATAGAGTGGAGATGTGTTATGATTTTTTATTCATTTTGTCTTGAGGTCTCTCTCCTGAGAGTGCCCACAGCTCCAGCCCTGCTCAGACCAGGAATTCAAAGGATGTAGACATGGATATTTACAATGTGCCTTTTGTGGATACTTCTTTGTCCTGGAGGAGAGCCCAGTGCCTAAGTGTCTGACTAGGATCGAGAATTTCCTCTCACAGGAAAACTGTACTAGCAGATGTCCTTATGGCTCTTGTCTGACCTGTGCCCAATTTATTCTTACCAGGACTGCCACTTTCTGTGACAGCCCTGACTGGAGAGGGTGGGTGTGGGTGATTGTGTGTCAGATGAAACACAATGAAGAAGTGAAACCAAAATGCATGAAACAGAAGAAAGGTATGACTCACAGGTTTCAGAGAGGTGAAGAGTGCCCACAGGAGTCTGACCAAAGTCCAGAGGCAGCAGGGGGCTCAACAAGGGGAAGCAAGAAAGAGAGGATCTGTGGGTTTATGCCTTTATTAAAGTCCATGGGCATTATCCTTTAGGTTTTCCTGCGGGGGTTGTGAATTGTCTAATTTAAAGAAGACTGGTAAGTAAAGGGAGGACTGATTTGCATAACTCTGACACTGACTATTAGGTTTTATCATAGCCAGCAATTGTGAGTGTGTTGGGTTGTGGGTCAGTAAGTGAGTAACAAACAGGATATGTCACAAACAGCCAGGCCAAAGGTGGCAGAGTATGACTGGGTTTTAGACAATTTACGCTGGGCCTAAAAATAAATGCCAAAGAAGCAACCGCATTAAACAAATTTATCACAAGAAGGAGTGCAAGCTATAAGGCATTACTTCCAAAATGGTAAAATATTACTTAAAAATGTCAGTTATGAAGAAATTGGAAACAATTTAAATAAACAGTTTTGCCTAGATGCATATTTTCTGGTCAAAATGGCAACTTCCTGGGTTCACATATGACTCCTGTGTTGGAAATGGAATCTAGAGATGAGATTTGACTGAGGTTTCTGCCAGTTTGTATGTTCTAGTTACTGTAAGATTGTGGCCATTCTGCAATTCAGGTACAGATCACGGTGCAGAAACATGATTTAATGGTTAATACTGTGATCTAAATTTCTGCTTGTGGAGAAGCATGTGTGTCTGGCCCCAGGGGTGTTCTTGCCCCTGAGAACACCCTATTATTGAAGAAAATAGATGGGAATTCACTGGATTACATATCAGATTCTCCATCAGTGGAGAACTGGCCTCAAGGGATGCAACTAGAATGATGCATTTGTGACCCATCGCAGCTGCTCAAATGGGCAAAACACATTCATACAGCCCTGGTCAGTCACTCAGTGGAGATCATATATTCATGATCTACCTACTCAGAAATGGATCGCAAACTTTCTCCACATTCATCTAAAAGGGCAGTCAACTGGAATTCAAAAAGAAACATGAAATGATTTGGTAAACGCTGTACTTAGATACCTTTTTAGCAATTGTTCTTAATTGGAGACTGTTCTTAGTTATAAACGTCTTGGTAACCCAGGAAAGTTATTTCTTCATTATTAGGCTTACAGATTTTTACTGCTTCTGCTTTAAAACTTTCTTTGAAAACACTTGAAATCCTAGTTCTACGAATCTGACCAAGATTTAATAACTGAATGACTTTTCCCCGATTTATATCTGGAAAGCTTATTTCCACAGTCGGGAACATCAACTTGAAATAAATTCACCTGGTTTTGGACTTGAAGAAGTTATTTCATGTGAATTAATTTTGGGTGTGATAAGATCTTTCGTTATGACTCAGATGACCTTAGAATGTTTTTACAACTCCCCACTTTTAAATGGCTATAAAAACTAAGCTCTAAAATTCGTATTATTTGGTTAAATATTTAGCACATAGATTTTAGTTATTGCGTAGAATTATAGCATACAAATTACCTTAAAATTATTAGTTAAATTAATTTCATTAAGTATATACATTTTTAAAAGTATGTCTCTTATATAGTATGTCAGTAATTCACACTGAATACCTGTTTGCTCTAACTTTAAGCAATATTTATTCCTGAATAAGAAAATTCAAGTTATGAACTAGGGTTTCTACTAAAATTATTACTTAAGATAGAACACATTACTTTACTTGATCTACTTTTGTACCCTTTGAGCAAATTTTTTAAAAATTAAATGAGCCAGACTCTAAGAAATGAAAACTGGTAAATAAAATAATATGTGTTGATTTCCAAAGAATGCTCATAGTATCCAAGCAAAGGAGTACATAACCTATCTGGAAATAGTTACTAGGAGAGTCTACGATGCATTTTTCCCCTAATTTCACTTTCTTTTTTCTCCTCCTCTCTTTCTCCCTCTCACCTCCCCATATCTCCTCTTACTTTTTTTTTTCTCTCTGCCTTTGTGTATGTGTATGTCTATCTCTATAGCTATATATCTGTATCTCTCACTTTCCTTTCATTTCTTTCCTCTTCTCTTCCTCCTTTCTATTTTTGGGCTGAAGGCCCTTTAATTCTTTTGTACTATTAGTCTTCAATCTCTGATTTTTAAAAAAGTGTTGCTTTGCTTAAAATGTATAATATATAACTAATATTGTATCAGATTGGTGGTTTTAATTTAATAATGAGTTCAATTTTTATGTTTCTCTATGTGTCAAAACATAACTACTAAATTTAGTTATAAGTGTATCTACCAACAGGAATGGCTATAGAGATGGTGATGGAACTGGTGATGGTAGTGGTGATGCTGGTGGTTTAGTGGTATTGACAATACACTGACAACTTATTATAAACTCCAATTTCAAAAATTACAACATTATTACCACTTCTATTCTTTAAAATTCTATTAGAGTTAGCTACATTGTCACTAGTCCCTAGTTTTATGAAAAGAGAAAGGAATTGGGAAGTTATTTGCATTAAGAGATTGTTTTGAAGTCCTTCAGTGATAAATCCTAGTGGCTAGTTGAATAGTCACAGAGCTTAATGGTCTATCTAGGTACTGAAGCATTCATTTGGAAAAAAATATTGCATATGTGTGTGTGTGTGTGTGTGTGTGTGTATATATATATATGTATGTATATATGTGTTTATATATATTTATCCAAATAGAATTGAGAAAGAAAGATCAGCCACAGAATCAGGTTTTCTGGAATTTAAATCCTAGCTATATCACTCATTAACTCTATTACTTTGAGGAAGTGACAAACTCACTATGATAAATTCTAATTATTGCTATTAACATTGTTTTTTAAAATGAGCATATTTATAAATCTACTTAGACTAAAATAATTACTGTATTTTATCTAGTAATATATGTTTGCTGAACAAAATTCTGATTTATTTTATTATATACAATGCATATCTATTAGATAGTAAGAATAAAAATAATAAAATTGAAAAATAAGAAATGTAAATAGAAAGGAAAAATGTCTTTACTACATTATTGCTGAGAATGAACATTTTGGGAGCAAAATTTGGCAATGCCTATTCAAGTTTTAAAATGTTCATATTCCTTGATTCTGCAATTATATTGTTAAAAATTATCTTACAGTAATACAATTTATTCAATCTGTGTATATATACATGCATGTATATATGCATATATATATTCAAATTGCATATATACACATGTGTATACATAGATACATATAAACATGTACATATACAAACAATGTGTGTGTGTATATATATATACACACACATGCACACATACCATATACACAAACTTATGAAGATTTTCAATGCAGCATAGCTAAAATAACAGAAAATATAAATAATATAGATCTTCATATAGAGACATGCAGTGCTATCAATAATATTTATTAAAATTAGAGTATATATGTGTATGTATTGGGACCTATTGATGTGTAATTACTAAATTGCATATACAAAATCCTAATTTAATATTTCTAAGTACAAATGCACATATGAAAGAATAAGTCATCCTTAATAAATTGAAAAGTGTTCCAGAAGTCAAAATTAGAACCTGGTGTATGTGACTCACATTCCTTGCTCTGTGTTTTACACTGCACAAAGTCCCTTTGTCCCTCCTCTGGGCCTTTGTACATCTGCTCCACCTGCTGGGAGTAGCCCCTGGTCTTACTTTATCTTAGCCACAGTCTAGCTTTAAGGCTTAAATCATTTCTTTTCTTTCATTTCTTTATGAAAACAGTTCAGTTATTTCTATTCAACAGTTATTTCTATTGTCATTATTTTACCTGCCCTTTATTTAAGAAAATAGGTCACATTTGACAATTTTTTGGATTATCTGTTGTCTACTTAAATTAGTAGGAAAAGTGAGGGAACTATGAAGAATTAATTATAATTGCCTCTGTCTTTCCTAGAACAGCTCTTTAAAAAAGAATTCCTTACTACCTACCGTGCAAGAACATGCCATGAAGGTGGCTGATGGTGTGATTCAAGATTGAACTGGAAGTTCAAGGTACAGTTTAATTATTGATGTAGGCTGAATTGTCTAGGAATACACAGGGTAAAAGATGACAGTTAGAAAATGTCATCATTGAGCTTATTGGATAGGGAAATAGCAACCAGACTCTAGAAGAGATTTACTTTCACACATGGAGGATGGGCTGGCACCAGCATTATCTATGTCCCACTGCTCACTGCAGTTTCCTTCCAATTGATAAATGATATTGATGTCCACTGCAACTTTACTATTCCCAGGAACTCTGAGATATGTGGAAGAAGTAGCAATTCTTAAGCATTTGCTTATGGAAATAAGAGAAACATGTAATAAACATAAAGTAATGATATATAGAAAACACATCTTGTGAGTGGGTGGAGAAATATTCAGACTGGTGAAAGTGGCGGTAGGCAGTGGGGAGAATTGGTTGACTGAGGGCATAGACAGAGGCACTAGGCAAGCCTGGACTTTACAGACATGTGACATGATCAGGAAAACCAACACGAATACTGCACTCCCACCCTTTATGGGTATTACCTCCATTAGCCTTCACAGCAGTTTTGTGAGCCATCAGGTGAAAATACTGGGGCGCTGTGAGGCAAAGGAGTTGGTAGCCTGGGCATCGGAGTTAGTCACATGCCTGCAAGAAACTGTGAGGCAGCTATGCAATTTCTCTAAGCCTCAGTTGCTGCTTCAGAAAATCCAGTCATAATACTTATTTCATATGGCCGTTCATGATAATCAAATGAGAAAAAGATGTTTAGTCATTGCCCATAATCAGTAAGTAATACAAACATGGTAGCTATGGCTTCTCTTTCACTAATTGTGCTGTTGCAGAAATTGAGGACTGGGGAGGTTGAGATTACAAAGCCAGTATGTAGCCTGGCTAGGACTTAGAGGTAGGTTTGCTGTGTCTGAATTCAGGAACATACCCTTTGAACAGAAGATTAAGTATGGAAAAAAATAACAGGGTATGAGTCTGGCAGGAAGTAAGTGGGACTGATGGTGGAATAAATACAGTGAAGCACATGAGAAATGAAGTCCAAACAGTAAGAGAAAAGGGGCTGGTGATGAGACCTGAATGTCAGTTGGAAAAGTTCAATTCTGTTCCGTATCAACACAGGGTCATACTAGGTCCCAAACTTAAGGACAGACAGGGCATATATATTCTAGAATAGCGGCTTTCATTTTTCTGAACATGAAATGAACAACCCCTCTAAGGAAATCCTACCCAGAGACATAAACAATTAATGCAAATAACAACTGAGTGTTTGTGTTTGAAGAGGACAGAGCCAGTCCTGCTGATACTCATCTAGGAAACCATCCTTATACTGCAGATGAGAAAACCAGGTTTCGGAGATGCCAGCAGCATGCTCAAATACAGATTAAGTTAGTGATGCAAAGTGGAATAAAATCTACTTGTCATTTATTGACTCCCAAGCCAGCGTTCCTTTAACTTCACAAGGATTGTTGCAAGAAAGTACTCAGTCCTGGGGCTAGGGAGGAGAGGATGAGATTAAGTAATATATGGCACTTCCACAGTTTCCTGTGGTTGTTCTGCATTCAGTGTAAGGGATGGGGGTGGAGTGGGCTACTGAAAAGCAGGAGTGACTTCTTAGCATTAACAGAGGGGCATAATCCAAATATCAATGTGAAGCTTTGCTTTTTGCAAAATTTCTTAGATGTGGCATCCAGGTCTGCTTTATAGTCCCTAGTAATATGAGGCATTCTTTACTGCAGGTTTTTCTCTTGGTTGCAGTAGTAACTTCCCTGAAATACAATCTATTCTTCTCTTCTCATGTGGTGGGATATACTAGGTATGAATCGAAGCCGTGTGAGCAAAATGCCAGCTCCACCACAAAATAGTTATATAATCTCGTGCAAGATATTTAACTCCTAAGGGCTTTGGTCTCTCTTTACGATGGGAGTAGTATAGGTACCTACCTCATGTGGTATCATGAGGTTTAAATGAAATAATATGGCTAACATATCTGGCATAGTGCCCAGCAGCATTGTTAGCCTAAAAGCTAATTGCTTAGTTGTTGTCATTATGCTCTGAAATCCTTTGTTCCATTTAGGAAACAGAGGAAACTGAAAGGAATGACTCAGGCTAATTCAAGGTTCAAGTCAGTTGTATTGGGGATCTGGAGTTTTGCTGAACCATGATGGTTTATAATCTTCATTACTGAACAATGAAGTCAGGGATTATATAGTAACTACTTTTAGGTATATGATGATCATTTAAAATTTAGAAGAAAAGCACACAATTGGAAAAGAATCAATATTTTTTTAAAAAGCACAAGAATAACCTACTTCATCACATTATTTTTAAGATAAGCAGGATAATAATTGTAATATACTTAGCATAGTGATTGGTGAATGATAAATCTCACAGCATAATTACTAGAGAAGCTGTATTGATATTTGAGGGTACTGATTCCGGCATCAGAATATAAGGTCCAAATTCTAGCTTCACTACTGAAGAGCTATGTGACCTTGCTTAAGGTTCCTAAACTGTATGAGAGTACGTTCCTGTTTCTGTAAAACAAAGCCAATCATAGAATTATTCTAATGCCTGGAATAAGGAATTGCCTCCAAGGTGAGGTAGGTGCTAAAAAAGTTATCTATTAATAATAACTATTATAAAGGTAGGACAAGGAGGAAAAAATCTATTTCACATAGAAACACAATTTAGAAAGGGAGGAGAAAAGGCTTGGGGAAGCCTTGCATAAATAAAGTATTTCCCTTTTAAATTATTTATTTAGCACATTCTTAGAAGTCAAATGCCTAGATGGAGAATACATGGGTAAAAACAAAGAACAAATTCCCTGAGGTCCTGGAAATACAAGAAGCCAAATTAGTCACTAATTATAAATCATATCTTGCTTATTTAGGATTCTCAACTCTCAGCTGGAACTCATATCAACACCTGAGAAATGGAAAATCAAAACAATGTGACTGAATTCATTCTTCTGGGTCTCACAGAGAACCTGGAGCTGTGGAAAATATTTTCTGCTGTGTTTCTTGTCATGTATGTAGCCACAGTGCTGGAAAATCTACTTATTGTGGTAACTATTATCACAAGTCAGAGTCTGAGGTCACCTATGTATTTTTTTCTTACCTTCTTGTCCCTTTTGGATGTCATGTTCTCATCTGTCGTTGCCCCCAAGGTGATTGTAGACACCCTCTCCAAGAGCACTACCATCTCTCTCAAAGGCTGCCTCACCCAGCTGTTTGTGGAGCATTTCTTTGGTGGTGTGGGGATCATCCTCCTCACTGTGATGGCCTATGACCGCTACGTGGCCATCTGTAAGCCCCTGCACTACACGATCATCATGAGTCCACGGGTGTGCTGCCTAATGGTAGGAGGGGCTTGGGTGGGGGGATTTATGCACGCAATGATACAACTTCTCTTCATGTATCAAATACCCTTCTGTGGTCCTAATATCATAGATCACTTTATATGTGATTTGTTTCAGTTGTTGACACTTGCCTGCACGGACACCCACATCCTGGGCCTCTTAGTTACCCTCAACAGTGGGATGATGTGTGTGGCCATCTTTCTTATCTTAATTGCGTCCTACACGGTCATCCTATGCTCCCTGAAGTCTTACAGCTCTAAAGGGCGGCACAAAGCCCTCTCTACCTGCAGCTCCCACCTCACGGTGGTTGTATTGTTCTTTGTCCCCTGTATTTTCTTGTACATGAGGCCTGTGGTCACTCACCCCATAGACAAGGCAATGGCTGTGTCAGACTCAATCATCACACCCATGTTAAATCCCTTGATCTATACACTGAGGAATGCAGAGGTGAAAAGTGCCATGAAGAAACTCTGGATGAAATGGGAGGCTTTGGCTGGGAAATAACTGCAATGCTGAGAACATCATGTATTTCCCAAAAGGAGAAGTCATTCTTTCAGAAATGTGTAAGAGCTAAAACTGTCCATTCCTCGGTGGCTGTCAAAGGAAGCTTTTTTTGAGACAGAGTCTCACTGTGTCACCCAGGCTGGAGTGCGGTGGCACTATCTTGGCTCTGCAGTCTCCACCTCCTGGGTGATTATTCTGCCTTAGCCTCCCCAGTAGCTGGGACTACAGGCACGTGCCATGACACCCGGCTAATTTTTTTATATTCAGTAGGATGGAATTTCACCCTGTTGCCAAAGCTGGTCTTGAACTCCCGAGCGCAAGTGATTCCCCTGCCTCTACCTCCCAAAGTGCTGGGATTACAGACATGAGCTCTGTGCCCGGCAGAGAGGAAGCTTTTAAAATTGTAAAACTGGGTTTATGATTCAGATTCTGTGCAAATTAGATATTATGATACTTTACTGCTTTATACCCTTCCCTAGCTTCCCATTGTCTTAGAAACAAATATCAATAATATAATATATATTCAATAATTTAATGAGTGATGTGATTAGAAGTTTGAATCAATAGGTGAATAAATTGTATAAGGAAAATGACTATTTGAAAAAGAGATATTTAAAAGTATTTCACAAAGTAAATAATTAAGTACTACTTATGGGATTTTATTTGTGTAGGATACACCAGAAACAAAGAAGGAAAGATACAGAGTAAGCTAAAAATATTTTAAAAATCTAGTTACACTGAAGGTGGGGGCATGGGAGATAGTGATGGAGATAGTGATAGAGAAGTGGTGTTTAAAGACAACCATATACAGTCAGCCCTCTGCATCCACGGGTTCAATATCAACCAATCACAGATCAAAAATATTTGGGGAAAAAAAACCCAAAACCAAAAAAATGACAAAATAACGATAAAACATAATACAAACTTAAAAATACAGTATAGCAATTATTTATATAACATTTACCTTGTATTAGGTACTACAAGTGATCATGGGATGATTTAAAGTCTACAACAAGTTGTACACTGGGCATATGCAAATACTCTGCCATTTTATATATGGGGCTTCAATATCCACAGATTTCGTTATTCACGGTGGCCCTGGAACCAGACACCGAGGGGTCACTGTACTCCCTTGTAATGTTCTCCTTTGATAAGTAAGGCAAGTGCAGTAGTTTATCATTTGTGCAATTAATATTAAACATCTTTAGAAGATAACATGAAATAAGCCTGATTTTTTCTTTTTTAAGAAAACATAGTGCTTAAAATTTCCAGACAATGGAGTTATTGGTCTCCCCTATTGCTATAAGTAACTGAAACCTAGACAAAATATATAAGACACCTGTTTTTAATATTAGGCAATATAGAACTGGGGAGTCCCTTAGAGAAGGGAAACTAATTAGGGGAGTGCTAGGACTGCCGCAGGCTTCTGCTAGGGGAAACTTCTGGACCATGGTCTAGGCACGGAGAAGCCAACATGTCATCACAGTTGAAACAGAGATCATAGCCCAGGGTAGCAGAAGAAGCTGTAATCTGTGGAGCAGAGTACTAGAGAGGAAGGAGCTACGCAGTCTTCACAGGGTCCAGTGCAGCCTGAGATAGTTGCTGAATACTAAGAATACTAAGGTGTGCCTGTGTGGAGTGAAACTCAAGACAGACTAAAGAACAACACCACTCAACATACATGTTCCTTGCAATTTAGGACTTTGCCTGACCTAGTAACATAGGGGCAAGCTGAAAACACATCATCATTTTGTAACTGAAAGACAGACACCTCAGTTGCCCTGGCAGAAGACAAAAGATATTGGAGACTTGAGCATGTTTATTGACTCAGCCTAAATGTGAAACACATTATCTCCACTCACATGTCTTGCATTTCCAATATGAAGACATATTTCATATATCTACAGTGGCCAGGCAGATAATTTCTAAGATTTTTCCACCTAACTGAAAGGGAGCATAAAATATAGCAGAGCATATGGAATATTTCCTGTGAGTTACTGTCTCCAGTATAATGTGTTGGTGAAGTGCCAGGTTTTAAATGTGTCTTTCTCATTCCAAAGTTTGAACTCTTTCAACCAATTTTATTAAGCAATATGACTTGAGAACCTCAACTTGGTTGTTTCATAGAGATGATCCCTGCTTTTGAACAATGGGGAAGATTCAAAAAATACTTTAAAATGTTTCAGTTTATTTAAACACTTTTGATGTGACAGACAAAGGTGGTAGCAGATGCAAATAAAACCAAAAATAGTGACTTATATCTATAGAGCACTTATCATATCCCAGGCACTTTTCTAAGCACTTTATAAACATTACCTCCTTTAATCCTCATTACAAATCTATAAGTTCACTACTGCTATCAATCATTTTGCCAGAGAAGCATCTGAATCCAGAAAGATTAAGTTACTTGCTTGATAAATCGCTAAACCAAATTTTAAACCCAGTTTAGCTCCAGGCTTGTAAACTCATCTGTACCGAGACCTTGGGTACAATAAGTGGAAGAGATAGACAAATTAATTGAATTTAATAGGTAAAATCGTGTACTGGAGAAGGGGTATGAGCTAAAATTAATAAAAAATGATGGCAATAAAATCTTGTTTTCAGGTTCATTGGCATATAAACTGTGGGAGAAAAACAATATCCACTTAAGCAGAATCAGCCTATGGAGGGGAGAATCAGGAAAACAAAACAATAAAGAAGATGCTCACATAAGAGAAATTATGGAGAATTCTATTTATAATTGACCTGAGATCCACAAGATATAATGAAAAAGGATTTGGGAAATTAAAGCTATCCTGGAAAAAGATAGTTTATATTGCTGGAGGGTATTTCAAATATAAAGTTAAAACATTTTCTTAAAAAAATAGGCAGTCCTTAGTTAAACAAACATTCATGTATTTTTTTTTTCAAATCCCAGACACTCATACAACACCTGGACTTGCTATTGGGCTTTTGACATGGCATATTCTATAAGAATGTGGGCTATAAAGACAGGGCTTCCTTTTCACTGCTGCCTAAAATAGTTCTCAGCAATAATAGGGAGTCAGTAAATTGAATTTAATTTTGAGTAGGGAATATTTCTGTGGACGCTGTTGGTGACAGGTACCTGTGGCAGAGACTGCTAATTGTCCACTAAAGCCCATTCTTCCCTCCTCTGCAGCAATACAAAGGTAACCACCTGAGCAGTGCCTACCTTCCTCAGCCCCTATGCATCTAGGTGTAGCTCTGTGACTAAGTTTTTGTCAATTGGATGTAATCAGAGGAATATGTGTAACTTGCAGGCTGAAATCCACAATGTTGGACGTGTGTTCCTCAAGATCATAGCCCCTTCTTGACACCTAATACCAGGCTGGTGGTGTCACAGTTATAGATAACCATGCCATGTGGCTATGCTTCTCAGATTGGTATGTATACATGAAATACCCAGGGTTAAATTCAGATTACAATTCATCAGGTCTAGGGAGGGGCCCAAGATTGTGCAATAATTCCAGCATGTGGCTCACACTTTGACCCTGAAGGCCCTAGGGGTGATCAAGCAAGAGTTTGAAAGGAACCTGAGTCTCTGAATGAAAAGGAGGATATGCGCTGCCAGCCTGGACCATTTACATGGGACTGTTGCAAGCAAAAGAGTAAAAAAGAATAAAATTTCTATATAGCACTAGGTCATTGTGTTTTTCATTTATACAATGTAGCATTACTCCAAGTAGAAGAGAAGTCAGAATATTCATGAGACCATTCTTTTCTTTCCCTTTTTTCTTTTATTAACTTTTATTTTAAGTTCAAGATTATATTTGCAGATTTGTTACATAGGTAAACTTGTGTCATGGGGGTTTGCTCTACAGATTATTTCATCACCCAGGTATTAAGCCCAGTACCCAATAGTTATTTTTTCTACCCCTCTCCCTCCTCCAACCCTCCACCCTCAAGTAGACCCCTGTCTATTATACCCTTCTTTGTGTTCATGAGTTCTCATCATTTAGCTTCCACTTATAAATGAGAACATACGGTATTTGATTTTCTTTTCCTGCATTAGTTTGCTAGGATAATAGCCTCCAGCTCCATCCATGTCCCTCCAAAGGACATGATCTTGTTATTTTGTATGGCTGCATTTGAGAAATGCAAATCAAAACCACAATGAGATTATCTCCCACCAGTCAGAATGGCTATTATCAAAAAGTAAAAAAACAACAGATGCTGGTGAGGTTGTAGAGGAAAAGGAACACTTATACACTGTTGGTGAGAGTGTCACTTAGTTCAACCATTGTGGAAGACAGTGTTGCAATTCCTTAAAGACCTAAAGACAGAAATACTATTTGACCAGGCAATCCCATTACTGGGTATATACCCAAAAGAATATAAATTGTTCCATTATAAAGACACATGCACATGTACGTTCATTGCAGCACTCTTCTCTTTACAATCCTGTATTCCTAGAAGGAGGATAGAAGGAGGAAATTCTGATATTTCATGTTACAGACAAAAGTGAAATTCCTTACTCAACATTCTGAGTATTTTTCCATTGCGTTAACTATCAAAACTCATACCAATAATGTTTAAAGTTCATGAAAATGTATATAATGGGAGAAAGTTTCAGGAATTACCTGCCAGTGTTTCATCTTCTTGTTGCTTCACCCTGGGGCAACTGTGGGTAAGGGTTAAGTATTCAATTTGCAGGGAAACACTGAATTTTTTAATTCCAAGAGAGAGACAGCCTCTCATGGACTGCTTCATTTTGACAAAAAAAAAAAAAAAGCCCCTTCAATGTAAGCCAGAATGTGAGTTTATAATGGACTATAATTCATGCCTGCTTGCTTCTTATCCTCCAATCACAATATAGCAGTGCTTAAAGCCATCAATATAGCAATTACACTTGAACACTGAAATTATGTGGTTATGCCTGGTTATAAATTGATTGTAAGATGACTCAGAACATACTTATATATGTTTTGAAATTATCATTTAAATGAAAACTTAAAGTGAAACATTCTTAGAGAAATTAGCAATCCCTAGTATTATGATCTCCAGTTAAAACTCTTTAAAATTTCAAGTATTCAATAACACAGCTACCACAAATAGTAAATGAATTTCTATTATGTTCAAAGCATGCGACATCTGGTTTAGAATAAATTCCTAATCAAAATAGACATAAGACTGCATCAATCCATAGGAACAACAATTACTGTTTTGGTACCAGGATAGTAATGAGTGTTTCTTAAAGAATAACATATTTAATTGTGTAGTAGTTCAGTGAAAAAAAATTATGTATATAAATATCCAAATATTTATAGATTAATCCAAATTCTTATTTTTTTTTTTTTTACTGGCAGACTTGGTATTTCATGACTTTAAAACTAAAAGCACAGTTTCTGAAGATTAAATGAATTTTTCTCTATTCATGTTATTTGAAAAGAGTATAAGGCAAGTCTTTTTACTCTATTGGTATGGAACATTGAGACTGAAATTTGAGAATATTGTTTTAAAATATTGAAGTTTTTCCCATTGCCAATCCGGCATTACCTCCACAAATCATAACTTATTACCATATGTGTACAGGATGAAATATTAAGTGTTATAGTAGTTAAATTGAAAGCCTAATACTTTGTAATGATTCCATAGCAGAGAGCTGCTACATCATACATTTAGTTTTATAATTATAGTGGTATGTTTTACAAAGATCCGAGAGTCTATTACCTGTCATAAGCTGAGAAGTATGGTAGTTCCTCCCACTGCTATCTTCTCTAATACATGCCTTCTTCCTTATTGGAGCAAGCAATAAACTGAGTAAGATTTAGAAAATCTAGTTTTCAAACTTCTAAAGTTTATTAGTTCTTTGATCTAGGAAATTCACTCAGTTTTTTGTAATTGGTTCCTTCTATGCTGAGAAGAATATGGTTAGATTAGGTGGGTATTTTAATTATTAAATCATGCTCATAGCTAGACACACTTATTATTTAATATTTCTTTTCAAGATCACTTCCATTTTATATAAATTTATATTAAAGAATGCTGTTAACTATGACAATATATTTAAAGAAATAAGAAAAAGTTATCAAATGTTATAGGACTAGTATAACTTTTTCATAATTTTGAGGATAATACCTGATGTCTTTGTGTTAAAAAAGGAGACTAAAAAGTATTAAAGAGATATTGACAGAAAATGATCAATTTTGACTTTCCCTTCATAATGTTATCAAAGATACCGAGCTAAATTGAAACAGGAATTATACTCTTAGTGTAGTATACAATGTATTCTAAAGCTATATCTGTTAACCATCAAATAATCTTAAATATCACTAGTAATACAGCTACACAATTTAGAAAATGCTGAACTTATTACATCATACATCTTATTGCACTGAACAGTTTTGCATTATTAATAATTTAGTATCTGTGGAGTCCAGATATGGTTGCCATATCTGATCTAGGAGTAAGGTAAAAAGTCCACATGGATGCTGTGTAATTCCTCAAGAATGAAGAGAATAGAATTTGGAAATGCATGCTGTCTGTAGTACATTCTTCCATTGCCTTTGTGTATGTCCAGCCCTGATCATATACAAAATAACATGCAAAGCTGAAAAATAAATCATGCAACATATAACAACTGAGTACGTCCTGACGACAGTTTATCTTACAGTTACATTGTGTGATAACTCTATCTTTTATTGACTTTTGGTGCCTATAATTTATTCTAGTACAGCCAGAACACACATTGTGAAGAATGCAAATGACCTATGCATTTATGTTTTCTTTCTTTCTTTGCAGCATTAATATTAATGACTCTTGAGTTTATCTTAAAACATTATCTTTTACAGTAAAGTTTAAATAATAGGTATAAACAATATTTCCATTTAAAAATGTAAGTAACTGACAGAAAAACTCCAACTTTTTGCTGTATTTTCAACTATATTTTGCCTTATAACATAGCTAGCAAAGTTATTTTCTCAAGTTCAATATGCAGTGCCCAACTCCCAAGGCCCCTGCACTTGCATTTCAAAGAACATTGCCCACTAATCATGCAGCTCAGTTTAGGCAAATTTTTTAGATGTAAATGCATTCCTTGATCATGTGTCTGCACACGGTTCAGGGAAGTGTTACATTCTATGCTGGGAGAAGGGAAAATTACCTAAAATGAAAACCCTGTTATGAATAAGGAACAGAATTAAAAATTATAAATGAAATTTCCATGTGCATTTAATTAATTTTTGTTGATTCTAAATGTTACAAATAAGAATAGTGATATATATTGTTCTGAAGAACTAGTATTTTTTTAAATCATTATATTTTCAAACAATAAAGTATATTCTTACGTTACTAATGTGACACAGTATTTGGAAAAATGTTTCAAAAACTATTAGAGAAATCAGTTATGATTTCTAAGAACAAATATAGTTAATATATTGATTCTGAATTAACTTCAGTGATTTGTGTAACTAGATTCCACGATCTGTTGATAGTTTTACATGATTGTGATTACATTGTAAATGTTTTAATCCAAATTCATTTTTCCCTAGATACTTTATTTTTGCATAGCACACAACATATGGAAAGTCAAAGGAACATATAAAAATTCATACTCATGAGCCTTTCCTCTATCCAGAACATACAAATATTTGTTTTTGTGTTCTTATTTTGTAATGTTGCCATCTTGGTGGGAAACTTTCTGATCCTTATCTCTATTTGATGTAGTCCTCTTTTTAACCAACCAATGCACTATTTCTTCAGGCTA
This sequence comes from Homo sapiens, assembly GCF_000001405.40. Lineage (NCBI taxonomy): Eukaryota > Metazoa > Chordata > Mammalia > Primates > Hominidae > Homo > Homo sapiens. Next base: position 55,673,823 of record NC_000011.10, read on the forward strand.
TATGAATATCTACTATACCTCCTGTGTCACACCCAAAATAATTGGTGATCTAGTAGTGGGAAGAATAAACATCTCCTATGATAGGAGTCTTTCCCATGCACTTCTTTGGAATCATTGAAATCTTCATCCTTACAGTCATGGCTTTTGATCACTATGTTGCCATCTGCAAACCTCCCCGCTACCTAATTATCATGAATAGGACAAAATACAATACTCTAATCTCGGTTGCTTGGCTGTTGGGGCTTTCCATTCTTTGTTTCAGTTTTCTATGAAAATCTGGTTGCCTTTCTGTGGCTCCAACAAAATTGATGACTAATATTAAGATATTTTTCCTTTACTGAAAGTCGCTTGTACTGATACCTGCATCACTGGTGTCCTCGTGGTTGCCAATTCTGGAATGTTTGCCTTGGTAACCTTGTTCTGTCGTTTGGCTCTTATGTCATTATACTATTCCCCTTAAAAAATCATTCAGTAGAGGGAAGATGCAAAGCCCTCTCTACCTGTGGATCTCATATCACCATGGTAATCTTTTTCTTCGAACCTTCAATCTTTGCCTACCTTAGACCTTCTCACTTTTCCTGAGGACAAAATATCTGCTCTGTTTTACACTATTATTGCTCCAATGTTCAACCACCTAATCTATAACCTGAGAAATACAGAGATGAAAAAGGCCATGAGAAAAGTTTGGTACCAAATATCATTTTCAGAAGAAAAACAGCTGATTTGTCCTACTTAGTGTACTAAAGAACTTTATGCAGCAGGAAAAGTGTACATGTCTCCAACGACTGCTGTTAGGTTATAAATTTTTTCCTTTTCTAGTTTAAAATTTTACTGTGGTAAAATATGTATAACATAAATTTACCATTTTAATCATTTAAGTGTACAGTTCAGTGGCTTTACATTCATTTTGTGGTTCAACCATCATCACCATCCAGCTCCAGAACTTTTTCTTCTTTCCAAACTAAACCTCTCTGCTCTTTAACACTAACTCTCCAATGCCCCTTCCCCCAGTTTCTGGCAATGACTAATCTCCTTTTTGTCTCTATACATTTTTTATTAATACATAATAGTGGTACATATTTATGACCTACACGTGATATGTTGATACATGCATACAATGTGTAATGATCAAAGCAGGGTATTTATGATTTCCGTCACCTCAAACATTTATTATTTCTTTGTGTTGGGAGCATTTTAATTCTTCTCCTCCAGCTATTTTGAAATATATAATAATTAAATTATTGTTACCTGCAGTCATCCTACTGTGACACCAAACACTAGAATGCATTTATCTGAATCTTTTTCAGTCTTTACGTACCAATATATATCACCATTTCCATTTATAAATTCCAGTTTTGTGACTTACCGGGAAAGATTCGGTTGTGTCCAAAATTATATCTAAAACTCTCTTGGACAGTCTCATCCACTCCTAATTTTCTACAAGTTGTTTCATCACGAATGAATGATGTCTTTAATCAAATTATTTTTCTGGATCTATTGAGATGGCAACATTTAGTTTCCTTCTTCCCTTTAATCTGTTAAGGTGGTGAATTATATTGATTTATTTTCCAGTGTTAACTCAGCTTTAGCTTTTCTAGGACAAACACAACACGAAACATACATTGATACCGAAACTAGACAAGGACAATTTAAGAAGAACAAATTTCAAACCAATTTGTCTCATAGACATAGAAGAAAATATCCTAAGACACATTCTTGGATAAAAAACAAGGAATATATAAAATGATTCTATACCATGACTGAGTCAGGTTTTAAATCTTTGAATCCAATTCATTCACTTATAATTGCCAGAAATGGACTGAAGTGTATCAGCAAAATCACAATTTCACAAGTGTATCTGAAATTTGGAAGAGTATATATATTTTGAAATTATTCTGGGCTAGAGGAATGCTGTCTATGTCATATAGAGTAAGCAATTCTGAGGCTGATGGTGTATTTCAAAAATAATCTGCATCTGAAATTTGCACATGGAAACTCGAAAACCTTTCTAGCATTCTGTAAGAATGAAGTAGACTGAAAGTGGTTTTCAGATATTAAAAAAAATAGTATTTTTATTATTGAGCTTTACTTCCGGAGAAGATAGTCAACTAAATCTTACATGATGGGCACTCTAATATAAACTATGTAATGAAAAAGTACACAGGGAATTTTGCTTAAAACGTGGAAAATAAAAGATGGTCAAATCTGTCCTCTGTGAGCTGCAAAAGCCACTTCTCCATTATCCTTTTAAAGCATCACTGGGGCCAGGCGCAGTGGCTCATGCCTGTAATCCCAGCTACTCGGGAGGCTGAGGCGGGAGAATCGCTTGAACCTGGGAGGCAGTGGTTGCAGTGAGCCGAGATCGTGCCACTGCACTCCAGCCTCGGTGACACAGCGAGACTCTGTCTCAAAAAAAAAAAAAAAAAAAAAAAAAAAACAGTAATACACACAAAAGAGAAGGAAAGGGAGAGAAAATTATAAAGAAGTCAATTTATAGCAAATTTATATTGAAGGAGTATATACATCATAATTGGGACAAGTCACCAATAAAGAAATGAATATCGTGTTAGGTTTTACCACTTCTCTAATACCAAGTGTTAGAAAACATTGTAGTAATGTCTACAGTTTTCTAGAGAAAAAGGGTTGAGAATGATAAACTTTATTTCTAGTCTTACTGTCTTTAATAAGTGTAGGAAATAAAATGACATCTTCACATTTGTTTGGCTTCATAATATACACTACCTACATGTCGTTTTGAATAAAAATTCTAAAAAGTATTTTTACTGATAAACATTCACCATCTTTGTTCATATCATGCTTGATGAGTTTAAGTCATTCCTCATTTTTGTGTCATAGCCTACTTATGTTTACACTGATCCCTCAAATTCTACTATAAATGTTGAAACTTTTCTAATGCAACCAGCCTCTAAGAAACCTTTAATTCCCACTTTGATGGTGTTAGCAAGTAAAAGGAATTACTTATTTTATAGTTATATTTCAAATTTGGCCAATATACTATTGGCACAGGAATTTCATTAAAATTTTGCATTTCATCACTCAGACAGTAATTCCTTAAGCAATATATTTTCTACCAAGAACTTAATGCACAAGGAAATATTTTTTTACTATTATTTAAAAATTGAGGAATAAAAAATTCATTATATGAAAGTATAAAATACATGCAATAAACAAATTTGCAAAAATTCAAAGATCAAATATTATATTAAAACATTCTAAAATATTGGATGTAATTATTATTAGAAAGAGAAAAAGATAAATTTTTTATTTGTATTTTTCAAGAGTAGTACTACTCTGATAACTAGAAAAGTAGCTTAAAAATGCATGTACAGCATGAACCAATTTTGTTTTATCAATGTGCACACATATACCTTAATAATGTTTGCCTCAAACTAGAGGGAGAATATATTTTATACGCATTTTTTAATTCCCTTTTTTTTAAAAAAAAGCCAACATAGAAGGATAAATGTAGATTTTTTTTCACTGGAGAAAGGAGAATTCATTTGAGCAAATGAATGAGAAAGTAAGTCTGCAAAGTTACCAATGCAAGGACCCCAAATCAGAGCTTGAAGAGTATCTGTAGGGCCAGAGAAGGGGACGATCAGAGGGGATCTCATGGAAAGACCTCTGTGTGTTTAGAAGAGAAATAATTGTGGGAATGCTACATAGACTGGAGGAGACATCCAGAATAAAAGTGTAGTAATGTTTGAAAAAAGATGACCTTAGGAGTGTTGGAAATAGACTAGACAAAAATAGAATACCTAGAATGACTTTCAAATTAATTCTTTGGAGTCAAATCAAGCCCCATAACCTGCCCTAGGCAGCTTTAATGCCTTGGATATGGCTTTAGAATTGTCTGACATGTTTTTCACTTCTACAAATTATTAAATATCTCACATAAAGACTTCAGAAGAAAAAAGAAGAGACAGAGAGAATTACAGTGGAAGTATCCCTGTAACTGTCACATGAATCAAGAAGCAGACTACTCTCATGATCTCCAAAGCCACTCGACATCCTTTCTGGCCTCACTCCTTCCCTTCTCCTTACACTCTTAGAGCCCATCTCATCAGGTCACTGGGAAGATTAAACCAGAGTGCTTAGGATATGGTGCCTAATAAATACTCAACATGCATTTGCCATGGTTTATTCTGCTCACATAGCACTTGGAAGTCAGCTCTAACATTATATATAGAGTTAAAAGAGGAAAGAAAAGAAAGAAAGAAATATGAAAATGATGTAAGGGCTTGGGAAAAAATTAAAACATGTTCTTTTAAAAAATTAAAATATGTTCTATATTTTTCCAAATTCTTTTAATGGAAGTTTTACATATCCACACAAAAGAATACTAAAGTTTGTTTGTTTATATTTTTCTGAAATTCTACCTAGCACTTGTAAACAAACTAAAACCTATTATAGTTCTCTCAGAGAACACAATATATACATTTTTTGAGGGAAGATGAAGACCATTATCTACCATAAAAGCCTGAGATGTCCATCTCCCTTCAGTCAATTTATGGATATTATGGAAATAATAAGTCCTTCCGTTAAAAAAGTTCTTTTTTTTTTCATCAGAAAACTCCCTATATAAAGTGCAAGAGAGTTCAGTCATTGGAGCCCCCGAGACTATATGATTGAGATTCCTAAATCACATGCAAAGATAATTGCAGCTTGCATACTATTTATAATCCAGATTCTATCCTAGCTGCAGCAAGCCTGCCAACTTGAATCTAAAGGAAATGGACTTGGTGAGCTTACCATTTCAGAAAGTAAATTCAAACAACTTGCAAGGAATAACCAATGCTCTAGAATGAAAGGAACACAGTTTTAAAATTTATACTTTAAGTATTTAGTTAATCATATGAGTCTGGACATCTCTAGAAATAATTTTAGTGATGCATATATAGATTGTGTTTTGCCTTATTTGGATATTCAAATTATTCCACTTACCTTCAAACTGTTGCTCTGAGCATACGAATTCCCATTGTAACAGCTGTCAGTTATCTCTAAAATGATACACTGTTGTTTCCATGAATTGCTAATAGACTGAGCTAAGTAAAATATGGCATTCAAGAAGCTGAAATGAAATAATCTAAATAACAGGAGAATGAACAGAATTTCAATGAGGACAGAGAGAAAACACTGGAAAGGAAGGAACAGGAATGGATTCACAACAATTGAAGCAGAACAATTGAATCAGAGCTACTGATGGTTAGTGTACAATCAAAACAATTACAACATATGTGGTAAATTATTTTTCCCTTCCTATTATCCTGCCTAACTGTGTGGTCTTTGTTGCATATATTTTTGTCTCCTTTTTATAGAACACAGACTGACTGTCAGTTAAATTTAAATATAGCCATCCTCTCAGAATTTGATAGATCATTTTTTTTTTAGCTTAGGGCAGCAATACATTCAAATAGTTGCCCAATGAGGATGTAACATGATGTCCTAAAGGGATAGATAGATAGTGATAGAGAATGATGCTTAACTGGGTAGCAAATTTCAAACAAAAAAAATACAGTAGTAGAATTTCTGGTAGAATGTCAACAAAGTATTGATCAAGAAAAAGCGTGATTCATAGGTTACAAAGAGAACATATGGACATAAAGATGGGAACAGTAAACACTGGGAAGTACTAGAGGGGGCAAGGATTGAAAAACTACCTATTGAGTACTATGCTCACGACCTGGGTGACAGGATCATTCATACCTGAAAGCTCTGCATCACAAAGCGAACACACATAACAAACCTGCGCATGTACCATTGAATCTAAAATAAAAGTTTTTTTAATAAAAAGAAATGAGAAGACCATAACTGAAAGGACATGTAAGATCACTGCAATAACCACTACCATAATCATTATTCCTCATTCTTCTAAAGAAAAAAAAAAAAGTCCACCCAAGAATTAACCAGTCAGATACCCTAGGAAGGTCACTAAACAATCAAATGGAAATAACTCAAAATTGGGTCTGTGTGTACGTTATCCTATTTACTTTGTTCCCTGCCCTTGTTGCCTGTAATTAATGTATGGTAATGATTTTAATTATTGAATAATTTATTTTTATAATATTTTAAGTCATTGAAGTTATTTATTTTAATAATTCGACAAGTATTTGCTGATTGTTGTGTAAATGAATGGTAGCCTGTATTTCATAAGAGACAAACAAAAATAAAAGTCTTGGAAATAATTATTTATGGAGTGGCAAAGATGGACTTATTGACACTTTCATGCACTTTATCTAGTTAATTACCTCAATAAAACTGGAAATAAATTACTCATCAGCAGTATACTCATTAGTAATACAACAATCTGAGAAAAAAGTATTACATACCCCAAATTACACAGATCACGGAGGGGTGAGTAGAATTCAAATTTAAATTTGTACAAGCACTTCTTAATATTTCAAGACAGAGCATAAAACAGTCTCTGTCCTTGAGGGATTTAGGATCATGAAAATCAAGGATGCATAGAGTTTACTTTGGCATACATTAAAAATTGAAATGTTTGCATCATTGAGAACCTCTATTTTAAACAATAACAGTATGAAATATTTATTAATTACATGTTATATATTAAGTCTATATTTTATAGACTTAGAGAGTTTGGTTTAATTTATTATCTCATTTTGTCATCCGCATATCAAAATTATAAGGGCTTTTAGCTCAAGGCCAATAGCTCTGGAGGTTATCTGATTTGCACAAAAGAATAAAATAATTATGAAATGAGTAGAGAATTTTATATTAAATCTGTTCTACTGTTTTGGTTCTACATCTTTTATGTATGAGCTCAGGCTCTGGATTCAACAAAATCTGATTTCAAGTTCTGATTTGCTGCATACTAGTTTGATAATCTGTATATACTTTTTCAGGAAAACCTTAATTAATTTTTACATTTCTAAAATATTATTACTCTTGGATGTCCATCAAACTGAGCGTAATAGCATAGTCATCTGCATAGTGTTTTTTTCTTTTCAAAGTTCAACATATATCTTTAAATTTAAAACTTTGAACTATCTGATTTATATGAGGATAAATTATGTCTCAAATTTTACAGTGTGGAAGGAAATGAAATGAAGAGTACACATTTAGAATTGATGGCTGCGTCAAGAATAGAAACGTGATGTCAACTAAAACTCTAAAATTAAGAAGCTAGAAATATAGATGGTAGTAGATATACAGTTAACCAGATGTGCATGAGGAAGTTGAAGATAAAGGGAGGATTGATAACATGGGAAATAAAGCCTTAGCTTTGGCCTTAAGAATGGAGCAACTGGAGAGTCAAACAGGTATTTAGAAATATTGTTAGTTCAAAGGTCAGACAATATCTAGTTAGTAGAAAACTTTATTTCATGTACATAAATGAAGATAGAATAATTGTTTGACTTTGCCCTGATACTCTAACAATCTTAATTTCTTGAGAGACGTTAGTTCATGTATGAACCACAATTTTTATTTAGGTTTTTGGGAAAAACAAGTCAGGTGGGTTTTTTCGTCTCCATGCCCATGATTAAAATAATGGATTTGTTTATGTCTATTGATATGAACCAATAAATAATGAATTGTCAAAGCCAGTCACTTAAATATTATTTTAAAATGAAAATATCCTCTTTATAGGTAAAGAAATTTTCCCACCTGTAAGTATATTACATGCCGACAGTATAATTGGAGGCATATAAGAACAATTACTTTTCAATGGCTAATTCTAAATCTTGGAATTGCACCTTAAATAAATTGAGTTGTTTGAAGGCCTCATTTTTGTTATATTTTTAAAATTAATTTGGAGAATGGCACAGTTAACAACCTCTAAAAGAAGAGGTGAGCAGGAAATTTAACAGTTAATGGACAAAAAAGACAGCTACAAGATTATGGCAGAGGATACAGCTCAAATTTTAAGCAAAAATGATAATACTAATGATATTTAGGGTCAAATTTATAGTAAAGACAATTAGACTATTTGGTTAAAAATTCTGTTATTTTACCAACAGTTTTGAGACTTAAACTAAATTACCAGGAGCTCTGGTCAACCCCAACTACATTGCCTAGATTTTCATAGAACAAATCCTGTTGATTTAATATTTGCAGATTCATGAGGATGTTCAAACTTTTTTCACTCTATATTTGACTTTAGTTAAAATTTCTTCCATTTAGAACTAGGGGATTTGACTAAGGGACCTCAAAGTTTTCTTATTGCTTAAATAATTTTATAATCCTAAGATGTTATTTTCTTCATGGGAATAAAATTAACTGGACTGTACTCTTGATGACTGTTAGAGTATTGATTTGGTAACTCTAGCGTTTAAATAAAAAATTCAGATGTTAATAGTCTCTGGTTAATAAAGATTTATTTTGGCTTCACAACCATTTTGTGATAATGTCCAGGCCAATTTCCTCATTTATAAATGAGATAACTTTAACTCAGAGAAATGAAGTGATTTGTATCCATATTCACACACTGTAATATAATTAGGTAACAGAATCCAGGTTCTACTGAAAATGTGTCTGCACATAAACCTTTTCTCATAAACTTCCAAAAAACTTTGTAGCTGGATTTATTCAATGTGAGGACTTTTCATGGATTTTGACAAGAAGCATTAGTTGGACAAAATAGGGAATAGAAATACAGATTCCAATTCAAGAAACAGAAAAAATTGACTTACAAAATATACAAAGTCAAGAGCAAAACCATCCAGGTAAAGCTGCCTTCTGCTCCTCTATGTTAGTTTTAACTGCTGCTTTATTCTGTGGTTTATTTAAGTCTATGATTCTAACTGAAGTGCCTACAGAAATAAACCTATTTCTGTTATAAAGGATCAGCATTTTACTGTCAAAATAAAAAATAAGGAAAGGGAAAGCAAGCAATCCAAGTTTACTATAACCAATTGCATGAGCTTCTTGCTGAGAGTTTTTTATTTTTCACCTTGTGAATATATATATATATATATATATATATATATATATATATGTAATTACGTTAATCCTTAATTTGGTTTTCTACATCACTCTAAAATGATTTGAGGTATAACATATTTTCCACCACATATTTCACAGTTAAACTTTACATTTGTAAGAAAATAAATATTCATGACATACTTTCATCTGTAACCAAATTTGAGTTTATAAGGATTCATGACCACATTCTTTGTGAGAAGTTAATTGCATATTGGGAAATGTTTGGCAATGAATAATGATTCTTTAACCGTGTTTAAAATGGATTGAATACATTTATTTAAACATTTTTTAAATTGACTGATTGAATGCATTCATTTTATCAATGTTATAATGTCCCAAAAATGACTTCTAGAAATCATCATGGTACTAATTAGAAAAAGAAAATATTTTTATTAAATATCAGTTTTCATTGTCTGAAATTCTGTAATCATATCCCTTAAACATAGTTGCATAATATTAGTATTATCATCAATACTCTCCATGACATTTCTGACACTGACTTATGCTTAATGTCCTTTCAGGTGGCTTTTATGCATTCTTTCTGCACTGGTTCATGGAAAATAGGAATATTGTCACTGTCTTTATTCTCCTGGGACTTTCTCAAAACAAGAACATTGAAGTTTTTTGGTTTGTATTATTTGTATTTTGCTACATTGCTATTTGGATGGAAAACTTCATCATAATGATTTCTATCATGTACATTTAGCTAATTGACCAACCCATGTATTTCTTCCTTAATTACCTCGCACTCTCAGATCTTTGCTACATATCCACTGTGGCCCCCAAGCTAATGATTGACCTACTAACAGAAAGGAAGATCGTTTCCTATAATAACTGCATGATACAGCTATTTATCACTCACTTCCTTGGAGACATTGAGATCTTCATACTCAAAGCAATGGCCTATGACCACTACATAGCCATCTGCAAGCACCTGCACTACACCATCATCACGACCAAGCAAAGCTGTAACACCATCATCATAGCTTGTTGTACTGGGGGATTTATACACTCTGCCAGTCAGTTTCTTCTTACCATCTTCTTACCGTTCTGTGGTCTTAATGAGATAGATCAGTACTTCTGCTATGTGTATCCTCTGCTGAAGTTGGCTCGCATTGATATATACAGAATTGGTTTCTTGGTAATTGTTAATTCAGGCCTGATTTCTTTGTTGGCTTTTGTGATTTTGATGGTGTCTTATTATTTGATATTATCCACCATCAGGGTTTACTCTGCTGAGAGTCATACCAAAGCTCTTTCAACCTGTAGCTCTCACATAATAGTTGTGGTCCTATTCTTTGTGCCTGCCCTCTTCATTTACATCAGACCAGCCATAACTTTTCCAGAAGATAAAGTGTTTGTTCTCTTCTGTGCCATCATTGCTCCCATGTTCAGTCTTCTTATCTACATGCTGAGAAAGGTGGAGATGAAGAACGCTGTAAGGAAAATGTGGTGTCATCAATTGCTTCTGGCAAGGAAGTAACTTGTATGAAAGGCATTTTAGAATTTCATTTTAATGCCTAAATATCAGCCTTAGAATTAATATGGAGTAATACAAAAGCATATATGGTGCATGCAAGAGCCAGCTACAGATAAAAGCTCAGTATCTCCAGCACTTGCTCAGACCTCTTCTGCTTGGGCAATTTTTATTATTTTATTTTAATGCTTATTCTTCCTTTATTCTTCTCACGTACCTGCCTCAAGTTCTCCTTGATTTGACATTTTATTTAGAATGTTTAATGAAGTCTAGTCTCCCATCCTTTTGATTTTTAATTTTATTCTAAGGGGAAATTGAATAAATTTATTCTATTTTATTATATTAGACAGAAACTAATGGAAACCCATGCAGTAAAGGAGAAATATACTCCTACTCCCAGCATCTCAGATGAAAGTATATAAATGTAGATTTTTCAGCTCAAGATAATAGGTAAATGAGTGGAACATTTAAGTCCTTTAGCTACTCAACATTTATAAACACACTTCTCTACAGTAAGTCCTCACTTAACATCGTTGATAAGTTCTTGGAAACTGCCAGTCTAAATGAAATGTCATATAATGAGACATATTATATGGCATTTCATATAATATGAAATTACAACTTCATATTCTCTCAAATATTCTATGACATATTTCTGGCCTTAACACCCACTAAATTTCTAAATAAAGACCAAAACACTTCTAATATTAAATATTGAAATAAATGTGAGCTGTACATACATTTAGGAAAGGTTAATAAGCACAAGTAAGATCATTATTTGCCCAGTGATGGAGATTCAGATTCATAGGTAGCTGAAGCCTTTCCAGACAGGTCAGGGTGCAAGGTGGGAACCACTCTGGGTAAGACTCCGTCCCGTCACAGGACACACGCACATGCAGACCCACACTCACTCCTCCTGGGACCTTGTAGACATGCCAGTTCACCAAAGCAGCATTGCTTGGGATGTGGGAGGAAGCCAGAGAAAATCCACGCACACATGGGGAGACCATACAAACTCCACACAGACAGTGGCCCTGGCCTGGAATTGAGTTTTTTTTTTTTTTTCTCATTAACCTTATAACAAGATGACATTTAATGAAACAATGCTATTCGAGGACCAGCTGTATATTTTGGAAACTCCTTTAGAAAATAACACCTCTATGCTGCCATTGAGTAAGGTGCTTCTGCAAAGGTACCTCCTTCTACCCCCAAAACATAATATCCCAACCATTCTGGATAATGTTATATTTCAATGTCAGTTTATCTTCCAGTCCACATTATTATAATTCCTTTGAAATGATCTGTAATCCAAAGGATACATTGTAAAATCAATGACCTAAAACACTTAATATAAAATAATAAGAAAAAAGAGAGGGAGGAGGAGCCAAGATGGCCGAATAGGAACAGCTCCAGTCTACAGCTCCCAGCGTGAGTGACGCAGAAGACGGGTGATTTCTGCATTTCCATCTGAGGTACCGGGTTCATCTCACTAGGGAGTGCCAGACAGTGGGCGCAGGCCAGTGGGTGCATGCACCGTGCGCGAGCCGAAGCAGGGTGAGGCATTACCTCACCTGGGAAGCTCAAGGGGTCAGGGAGTTCCCTTTCCAAGTCAAAGAAAGGGGTGACGGACGCACCTGGAAAATCGGGTCACTCCCACGCGAATATTGCGCTTTTCAGACCGGCTTAAAAAACGGCGCACCACGAGACTATATCCCACACCTGGATCAGAGGGTCCTACCCCCATGGAATCTCACTGACTGCTAGCACAGCAGTCTGAGATCAAACTGCAAGGCGGCAGCGAGGCTGGGGGAGGGGCGCCCGCCATCACCCAGGCTTGCTTAGGTAAACAAAGCAGCCAGGAAGCTCCAACTCGGTGGAGCTCACCACAGCTCAAGGAGGCCTGCCTGCCTCTGTAGGCTCCACCTCTGGGGGCAGGGCACAGACAAACAAAAAGACAGCAGTAAACTCTGCAGACTTAAATGTCCCTGTCTGACAGCTTTGAAGAGAGCAGTGGTTCTCCCAGCATGCAGCTGGAGATCTGAGAACAGGCAGACTGCCTCCTCAAGTGGGTCCCTGACCCCTGACCCCTGAGCAGCCTAACTGGGAGGCACCCCCCAGCAGGGGCACACTGACACCTCACACTGCAGGGTATGCCAACAGACCTGCAGCTGAGGGTCCTGTCTGTTAGAAGGAAAACTAACAAACAGAAAGGACATCCACACCAAAAACCCATCTCTACATCACCATCATCAAAGACCAAAAGTAGATAAAACCACAAAGATGGGGAAAAAACAGAACAGAAAAACTGGAAACTCTAAAAAGCAGAGCGCCTCTCCACCTCCAAAGGAACGCAGTTCCTCACCAGCAACAGAAAAAAGGTGGATGGAGAATGATTTTGACGAGCTGAGAGAAGAAGGCTTCAGACGATCAAATTACTCTGAGCTACGGGAGGACATTCAAACCAAAGGCAAAGAAGTTGAAAACTTTGAAAAAAATTTAGAAGAATGTATAACTAGAATAACAAATACAGAGAAGTGCTTAAAGGAGCTGATGGAGCTGAAAACCAAGGCTCGAGAACTATGTGAAGAATGCAGAAGCCTCAGGAGCCGATGCGATCAACTGGAAGAAAGGGTATCAGCAATGGAAGATGAAATGAATGAAATGAAGCGAGAAGGGAAGTTTAGAGAAAAAAGAATAAAAAGAAATGAGCAAAGCCTCCAAGAAATATGGGACTATGTGAAAAGACCAAATCAACGTCTGATTGGTGTACCTGAAAGTGATGTGGAGAATGGAACCAAGTTGGAAAACACTCTGCAGGATATTATCCAGGAGAACTTCCCCAATCTAGCAAGGCAGGCCAACGTTCAGATTCAGGAAATACAGAGAACGCCACAAAGATACTCCTCGAGAAGAGCAACTCCAAGACACATAATTGTCAGATTCACCAAAGTTGAAATGAAGGACAAAATGTTAAGGGCAGCCAGAGAGAAAGGTCGGGTTACCCTCAAAGGGAAGCCCATCAGACTAACAGCAGATCTCTCGGCAGAAACCCTACAAGCCAGAAGAGAGTGGGGGCCAATATTCAACATTCTTAAAGAAAAGAATTTTCAACCCAGAATTTCATATCCAGCCAAACTAAGCTTCATAAGTGAAGGAGAAATAAAATACTTTACAGACAAGCAAATGCTCAGAGATTTTGTCACCACCAGGCCTGCCCTAAAAGAGCTCCTGAAGGAAGTGCTAAACATGGAAAGGAACAACCAGTACCAGCCGCTGCAAAATCATGCCAATATGTAAAGACCATCGAGACTAGGAAGAAACTACATCAACTAACGAGCAAAATCACCAGCTAACATCATAATGACAGGATCAAATTCACACATAACAATATTAACTTTAAATGTAAATGGACTAAATTCTCCAATTAAAAGACACAGACTGGCAAGTTGGATAAAGAGTCAAGACCCATCAGTGTGCTGTATTCAGGAAACCCATCTCACGTGCAGAGACACACATAGGCTCAAAATAAAAGGATGGAGGAAGATCTACCAAGCAAATGGAAAACAAAAAAAGGCAGGGCTTGCAATCCTAGTCTCTGATAAAACAGACTTTAAACCAACAAAGATCAAAAGAGAAAAAGAAGGCCATTACATAATGGTAAAGGGATCAATTCAACAAGAAGAGCTAACTATCCTAAATATATATGCACCCAATACAGGAGCACCCAGATTCATAAAGCAAGTCCTGAGTGACCTACAAAGAGACTTAGACTCCCACACATTAATAATGGGAGACTTTAACACCCCACTGTCAACATTAGACAGATCAACGAGACAGAAAGTCAAAAAGGATACCCAGGAATTGAACTCAGCTCTGCACCAAGTGGACCTAATAGACATCCACAGAACTCCCCACCCCAAATCAACAGAATATACATTCTTCTCAGCACCACACCACACTTATTCCAAAATTGACCACATAGTTGGAAGTAAAGCTCTCCTCAACAAATGTAAAAAAAGAGAAATAATAACAAACTGTCTCTCAGACCACAGTGCAATCAAACTAGAACTCAGGATTAACAATCTCACTCAAAGCCACTCAACTACATGGAAACTGAATAACCTGCTCCTGAATGACTACTGGGTACATAACGAAATGAAGGCAGAAATAAAGATGTTCTTTGAAACCAACGAGAACAAAGACACAACATAGCAGAATCTCTGGGACGCATTCAAAGCAGTGTGTAGAGGGAAATTTATAGCACTAAATGCCCACAAGAGAAAGCAGGAAAGATCCAAAATTGACACCCTAACATCACAATTAAAAGAACTAGAAAAGCAAGAGCAAACACATTCAAAAGCTAGCAGAAGGCAAGAAATAACTAAAATCAGAGCAGAACTGAAGGAAATAGAGACACAAAAAACCCTTCAAAAAATTAATGAATCCTGGAGCTGGTTTTTTGAAAGGATTGACAAAATTGATAGACCGCTAGCAAGACTAATAAAGAAAAAAAGAGAGAAGAATCAAATAGACACAATAAAAAATGATAAAGGGGATATCACCACCAATCCCACAGAAATACAAACTACCATCAGAGAATACTACAAACATCTCTATGCAAATAAACTAGAAAATCTAGAAGAAATGGATAAATTCCTCGACACATACACTCTCCCAAGACTAAACCAGGAAGAAGTTGAATCTCTGAATAGACCAATAACAAGAGCAGAAATTGTGGCAATAATCAATAGTTTACCAACCAAAAAGAGTCCAGGACCAGGTGGATTCACAGCCGAATTCTACCAGAGGTACAAGGAGGAACTGGTACCATTCCTTCTGAACCTATTCCAATCAATAGAAAAAGAGGGAATCCTCCCTAACTCATTTTATGAGGCCAGCATCATTCTGATACCAAAGCCTGGCAGAGACACAACCAAAAAAGAGAATTTTAGACCAATAGCCTTGATGAACATTGATGCAAAAATCCTCAATAAAATACTGGCAAACTGAATCCAGCAGCACATCAAAAAGCTTATCCACCATGATCAAGTGGGCTTCATCCCTGGGATGCAAGGCTGGTTCAATATACACAAATCAATAAATGTAATCCAGCATATAAACAGAGCCAAAGAGAAAAATCACATGATTATCTCAATAGATGCAGAAAAAGCCTTTGACAAAATTCAACAACCCTTCATGCTAAAAACTCTCAATAAATTAGGTATTGATGGGACGTATTTCAAAATAATAAGAGCTATCTATGACAAACCCACAGCCAATATCATACTGAATGGGCAAAAACTGGAAGCATTCCCTTTGAAAACTGGCACAAGACAGGGATGCCCTCTCTCACAACTCCTATTGAACATAGTGTTGGAAGTTCTGGCCAGGGCAATCAGGCAGGAGAAGGAAATAAAGTGTATTCAATTAGGAAAAGAGGAAGTCAAATTGTCCTTGTTTGCAGATGACATGATTGTATATCCAGAAAACACCATCATCTCAGCCCAAAATCTCCTTCAGCTGATAGGCAACTTGAGCAAAGTGTCAGGATACAAAATCAATGTGTAAAAATCACAAACATTCTTATACACCAATAACAGACAAACAGAGAGCCAAATCATGAGTGAACTCCCATTCACAATTGCTTCAAAGAGAATAAAATACCTAGGGATCCAACTTACAAGGGATGTGAAGGACCTCTTCAAGGAGACCTACAAACCACTGCTTAATGAAATAAAAGAAGATACAAGCAAAGGGAAGAGCATTCTATGCTCATAGGTAGGAAGAATCAATATCGTGAAAATGGCCATACTGCCCAAGATAATTTATAGATTAAATGCCATCCCCGTCAAGCTACCAATGACTTTCTTCACAGAACTGGAAAAAACTACTTTAAAGTTCATATGTAACCAAAAACTAGCCCACATTGCCAAGTCAATCTGAAGCCAAAAGAACAAAGCTGGAGGCCCCATGTTACCTGACTTCAAACTATAATACAAGGCTACTGTAACCAAAACAGCATGGTACTGGTACCGAAACAGAGATATATATCAATGAAACAGAACAGAGCCCTCAGAAATAATGCTGCATATCTACAACCATCTGATCTTGGACAAACCTGACAAAAGCAAGAAATGGGGAAGGGATTCCCTATTTAATAAATGGTGCTGGAAAAACTGGCTAGCCATATGTAGAAAGCTGAAACTGGATCCCTTCCTTACACCTTATACAAAAATCAATTCAAGATGGATTAAAGATTTAAATGTTAGACCTAAAACCATAAAAACCCTAGAAGAAAACCTAGGCATTACCATTCAGGACATAGGCGTGGGCAAGGACTTCATGTCCAAAACATCAAAAGCAATGGCAACAAAAGCCAAAATTGACAAATGGGATCTAATTAAACTAAAGAGCTTCTGCACAGCAAAAGAAACTACCATCAGAGTGAACAGGCAACCTACAACATGGGAGAATATTTTCGCAACCTACTCATCTGACAAAGGGCTAATATCCAGAATCTACAATGAACTCAAACAAATTTACAAGAAAAAAACAAACAACCCCATCAAAAAGTGGGCGAAGGACATGAACAGACACTTCTCAAAAGAAGACATTTATGCAGCCAAAAAACACATGAAAAAATGCTCATCATCACTGGCCATCAGAGAAATGCAAATCAAAACCACTATGAGATATCATCTCACACCAGCTAGAATGGCAATCATTAAAAAGTCAGGAAACTACATGTGCTGGAGAGGATGTGGAGAAATAGGAACACTTTTACACTGTTGGTGGGACTGTAAACTAGTTCAACCATTGTGGAAGTCAGTGTGGCGATTCCTCAGGGATCTAGAACTAGAAATACCATTTGACCCAGCCATCCCATTACTGGGTATATACCCAAATGACTATAAATAATGCTGCTATAAGGACACATGCACATGTATGTTTATTGCGGCATTATTCACAATAGCAAAGACTTGGAACCAACCCAAATGTCCAACAATGATAGACTGGATTAAGAAAATGTGGCACATATACACCATGGAATACTATGCAGCCATAAAAAATGATGAGTTCATGTCCTTTGTAGGGACATGGATGAAACTGGAAACCATCATTCTCAGTAAACTATCACAAGAACAAAAAACCAAACACCGCATATTCTCACTCATAGGTGGGAATTGAACAATGAGATCACATGGACACAGGAAGGGGAATATCACACTCTGGGGACTGTGGTGGGGTGGGGGGAGGGGGGAGGGATAGCATTGGGAGATATACCTAATGCTAGATGACGAGTTAGTGGGTGCAGCGCACCAGCATGGCACATGTATACATATGTAACTAACCTGCACAATGTGCACATGTACCCTAAAACTTAAAGTATAATTAAAAAAATATATATAAATTGTTGACATAATTTTAATCCACAGCATTATTTAAATTGTCTAGTTCAAGATTATTTTGAGAAAACAATTAACTGTGGCAATTCTAATTAAATTCCCTTGATGTGTATATTCGAAAAATATATAAAGCACAGATTGTAAAATAAAGAACAGCATTGGAAAGTTTCAAAATATATATTTTTAAGAAAAGCTAAAAAAAAAAGAAAAAAGAGAGGACAAAATTTGTAATATATATATTTATATACATAAAACACACATATGTGAAAAATATACATTGCTACTATAGTCCTTGTTCCTGTAACTGGTCATGAGATTTTAGTCAATATTCACACCTTTATTTCTTACACTTCTCTTTTCTTTGACTTCAGGCTAAACTTCAGCTGACCTGGGTTCATTTTTACTAGGATAAACCAGATCTTGGTTCTTGAAATTCCGAATCCTTAATGGCCTTACCAGTTTTTTGTTGTTGCTTTATTTCTTCATGAAATTTTTCTGCTAGTTATGGAAATTTTAAAAGGTCCCTTGAAGAATCTCCAGAATTCCAGATATTGGTCATTCTTGCCTCCATTGTGGCCAATACCAATCTCCCTTGTCCCCAGTACCAGTCACTTCAGCCCCATTTTTCTCTGTTTGTTCATTAAAGGCATGAAGTGGCCAAATTATCCAGCTGACAATTTCTCTAATTCAATAAAGTAATTGCTGTGTTTCTTGATAAAAGCACAACATCTGTGTAACTAAGACATAACCACCTGAATTGAAAAATACTGGGACAGAAAGCAAACATTCTGGGTTTTAGGGCAATAAACCCATTTACAGTAAATAATAAAAGGAGGTACTGCCATGCACATCCTTTGATTTCCGTAACTGTTTATTTTTGTTCTTATTATTATTTTTTTAAGCCAAGGAAGAAACAATATCCTATTTTGGCCAATACATCCTTCAGGAGAACCTCCAACTTTTCACTTCGTTGTCTCTGAATTAACACTTGAATGTTCAGTAAGACATTTCACCAGGGTATCAAACCAGTTACTTCAAAGTAGTGGGGTATGTATTAGTTTTCTAGGGCTGCCATAACAAAGTAACACAGGCCTGTTGGCTGACACAACAGAACATCATTTTCCAGTCAGTTCTGAAGTTTGGAAGCCCAAGATCAAGGTGTCCCTTGGTCAGGTTTTTCCAGAGGTCTTTCTCGTTGGCTTTGCAGAGGCCTGCTTATCACTGTGTCCTCACATGGCTCTTTCTCTGTGGGGTCACGTCCCTGGTGCTACTTGTGTACATCCAAATTTTCACTTCTTAAAAAGACACAAATCAGATTCAGTTAAGGTCTATCCTAATTTTCACTTCATTACCTCTCATTTTCACTTAATTACCTCTTTAAGAGCTTACCTCCAAATATACATTCTGAGGTACTGGAAGTTAGGGCTTCGACATGTGAGTTTTAAGGGCACACAATACTGATAGGAAAAAAATATTCCATGTCCTTATGTTTGGTTACTGTATGGCTCAGGAGGCCAATTTAAGGATTTGAACTGCCACTAAGAATGGCTATTTCAGCTAGGGATTTAGGAACTATGGAAATAAACAGGACAGTGAGTGTACATATCCATTGGGGTCACTAAAAGATGGACTTGAGCAGCACTAAATCTACGAAAACAATTTTAAAGAAATATACCTAAACCATAAAGGTGCAGAATGGTTGAAAAGAAAGGGTAAATAGCTATTGTGCAAGTACTAACTAGGGAAAGATGGTATTTGTATTAATGATCAGGTATATGTACCAATAGTACTGAGGAAATTTCAATACACTAGGAATTTATGAAAATTCTAAGTTCATATCAACCTAGAAGTTTATAGATTTGATGGGATCTCATGGACATATACAGCTCACTTGAACCAGAGACTCTAGGGTACACATTTCATTTAAGTACATACAAGTTACTTTAAAAAATACTGCATGCTATGCTATCAGCATGCTATGCTATCAGCTCAAATTTCAAATCTGTATTACACTAACTTTGTGACATAATGCAACAGCTGATGAAAATGCAAATAAAGTAAATATCTGCAGTAATTAGATAAGTATTTTAAATAAATTAAAATTTAAAAACATACATTAAAACACCTTAGTTGGTAAAACAAATCATAATAGAAATCAATTAATTCTTAGACCTTAAAGAGAACAACCATGCTACCTGTTTAAGCTTATGCAGGCTTCTGTTTTGAGATAAAATGTTTAACTTGTATCTAGAAGTCCTTTACATAGAAATATCCCCTAGAAAAGCAGAGCATATGGTGGGGGTAAAAGGCTTGTGTGAGGACATAAGAGAGATACTGAGGCTGATGTTTCGTGCCCCCTTTTGTCCTTTATTTTATTTTATTTTTCCAGGCTGGTCTCAAAATCCTGAGCTCAGGTCGCCCTCCTCGGCCTCCCAAAGTTCTGGAGTTACAGGTGTGAGCCACTGCACTTGGCCCCTTTTTTCCTTGAGTAAAGATGATTTTCAGCAGCAACCAGGAGGAAGAGAGACTAAACATAACAAATGTTGGCAGTAGAGTGGAGCAACTAGGAAGTGCCACTGGCGGATTCTAAATTTATATAACCAGCAAACGACTTCAGAAGAAAATTGACTAAAATTGAGCATAGAGTTTCCACATCCCAGAATTCCACTACTAGTCACAAACATACATATGTATACAAACATCCATACAAATGTATGTTCACCAAAAGAGACGAAATTCAGAAAGAATTATTTGAAATAGTTATAAACTCTTAATAATATGTCCATCAAAAGTAGAATGAATAAATAGATGATAGCATATTTATACAGCAGGAAGGGGCAATGAAATAAAAGAACACTGGCCGGGCGCGGTGGCTCACGCCTGTAATTCCAACACTTTGGGAGGCTGAGACGGGTGGATCACAAGCTCAGGAGTTCGAGACCACCCTGGCTAACACAGTGAAACCCCGTCTCTACTGAAAATACAAAAAATTAGCCGAGCGTGGTGGCGGGCGCCTGCAGTCCAAGCTACTTGGGAGATTGAGGCAGGAGGATGGCGTGAACCCGGGAGGCAGAGCTTGCAGTAAGCCGAGATCGGGCCACTGCTCTCCAGTCTGGGCGAAAGAGTGGGACTCTGTCTAAAAAATAAAAAAGAACACTGCTGCACAAGATATGCAAAATATCACAAATATATTCTTAAGTAAAAGAAGACTGACCAAAGGAGTAGATACTATATGACTTAATCTGCATAGTGTTGATAATAGGCAAAATTAATCTGTGGTAACAGAAGTCAACATAGTAATTATCTTTGGGATTTGGAGGATGAGCGTCTTCAGGGTTGTTGCCATGTACTTTTGTGTAGTTTGGATGGTGATGATATGGGAATATTCCTTATTTGAAAACTCAGAGTGTAATTTATGATTGTACATTTTTCTATATGTAGATTAAACTTTAATGAAAGCCTTTTAGAATAAAAATATTTAAGTAATTGATAAATTACTGCAGCATTGAAGGAAAATTTAAAACATTAAATAGCTACACTGGAAAAACAGAGGCTGAAATATGATGAATTATGTCCAGCATAAGAAGTTGGAAAATGACCAGTAGACTGTACAAAAATAAAGAATAGGAAAAAATAATATAACATGTGAACGATTGAACAAAATGGAAAAGAAACATTTAATGTTGCTTTTCAATATCAAATGTGGACAAATTTGGAAGTTTATTACATGTGCATAACTTCTTACTTAATAATTCTAAAATCAGAAAAACCTTTGTCTGAATCCTAATTTTTCTCCTTTGTATTGGTAGAGAAACTTAACCAATTCAAGGATACTTATGAAATTCATGGATTTATCAGAGTGTGGACATTCATGTATTTTTCTGTGGAAATAAACACATATGACAATGAATTGCTACTCCAGATTCTATTAGAATATTACATAATATATAGTTTATAGAACGCAGAATTTTTTAAAATTTGTAAAATTCTGAATTGGTGTAAACATCCAAAACACATGTACATTGTAAAGGAAATTAGTGGATTTTATTTGAGCTGACAACTAAGATAAACAAAATATCTATTCAGACTCATATTAAAAAGCACATAGTGTTAAGAATAAAAAATAGACATTAAAGATACTCTAGAAATTGAAATAATATTTTTTAAAAGTCACTAAATAGAAAATTTTAAGTAAAATGGAAAATTTACAATATGTAATTAAAATATCTGATTCAATAATTAAAATAATTTTTGAAAATTTCTTCATTCTCTTAGACTAAAACGTATTAGATCCTTATTATAAAACACTAGGCCCAAGAAATTCTATAGAAAGTTTCAGTAAACATTCAAGGAAGTGATAATTCCAATCCTGTACAAACTCCTTCAGAAAATAAGGAAGAAATAGGCCATTTATTTTACAAAAGTAGTATACACTTAACATCATAATCAAGCTAGAAAGGGGATTAGAACCCAATTTCATGCATGGGTATGAATGTGAGTCTTAACCAAAATATTAGTAAAGTGAATCCAGCAATATATGAAAAACCCTAACGCTTCACATCTGATAAGTTTACTAAGAGCACAAAGTCTTTTTCTACATTGTATATCCACTCATACATTAAAGGAGAAAAAATTATGTAATCCCCTCAAAAGATTTTATTAAAAATATGATAGAAATTCTTAACTAATGCTTACAAGAAAATTTATTACATTTGGTATAGGTTGTATAAAACAAATAAATGAGCATAGTATTTAATTTTGAGAGGTTGAAACTATTCTACTCAACAGAAACACATTAAGAATGTCTATTATCTTTGTTCTGTTTATCATTGCACTGGAGGTCCTAGCAAGTACACTATAATAAGCAGAAGAAATAAAAGCATCAAGAATTGAAAAAAATATATAAAAATAGTATTCAAAAATTATGTGCATATTTATGTAGAAAAAGCATCTGGATATATAATGAATATAAGGGATTATTCGTTGTATTCAGAAATATGACCAGTAACAAAAGCCAAATTAATTTCCAAATGCAAGCAGCAACAGGAAAATAAAACTTTAAGTAAACACAACTTATCATAGAAAACACATAAGTGAGTGAGAATATGTGGTGTTTGGTTTTTTGTCCTTGTGATAGTTTGCTGAGAATGATGGTTTCCAGCTTCATCCATGTCCCTACAAAGGACATGAACTCATCATTTTTTATGGCTGCATAGTATTCCATGGTGTATATGTGCCACATTTTCTTAATCCAGTCTATCATTATTGGACATTTGGGTTGGTTCCAAGTCTTTGCTATTGTGAATAGTGCTGCAATAAACATACATGTGCATCTGTCTTTATAGCAGCATGATTTATAATCCTTTGGGTATATACCCAGTAATGGGATGGCTGGGTCAAATGGTATTTCTAGTTCTAGATCCTTGAAGAATCGCCACACTGACTTCCACAATGGTTGAACTAGTTTACAGTCCCACCAACAGTGTAAAAGTGCTCCTATTTCTCCACATCCTCTCCAGCACCTGTAGTTTCCTGACTTTTTAATGATTGCCATTCTAACTTGTGTGAGATGGTATCTCCTTGTGGTTTTGGTTTGCATTTCTCTGATGGCCAGTGATCATGAGCATTTTTTCATGTTTCTTTTGGCTTCATAAATATCTTCTTTTGAGAAGTGTCTGTTCATATCCTTCACCCACTTGTTGATGGTGTTGTTTGTTTTTTTCTTGTAAATTTGTTTGAGTTCATTGTAGATTCTGGATATTAGCCCTTTGTCAGATGAGTACATTGCAAAAATTTTCTCCCATTCTGTAGGTTGCCTGTTCCCTCTGATGGTAGTTTCTTTTGCTGTGCAGAAGCTCTTTAGTTTAATTAGATCCCATTTGTTAATTTTGGCTTTTGTTGCCATTGCTTTTAGTGTTTTAGACACGAAGTCCTTCTAATGGAGCTCACTGAGCATATTCTAAAATATATGAGATATATTAAAGGACATTAAAGCCATGATACTCCCAAACAGTAAAAATGGGGGGGGGATTGGATGCAATAAATTTGAGGAATTTCAGGGCTGATTAAGGAAAACTATGTGAGCATGAATAGATGGTAGCATGCAATGAGCTTTATTGGAAGCTCAGACAGATTTGCAAGTGAGGAAAATTCCCTCACAGCATGAGACCATCCATCAGCACTGCCTAGAATGGGAGGAAAGCAAGGGAACTGCAAGGGGAGAGGATAAGAGAAGAGGTGTACAGGCATAAGTAATATCAATCAGCAGCAAGGTGAGGAGTCTGTGGGTCTGAGAGCTCGGGGGGGAAGTAGTGACTTGAGGTCTCGTAACCACAAGGTTCACCTTTTTCATGGCTAGCTGATGTTGGGTGCAGTTTCATGAAGTATGCAAAGCAGGCTAGCTCTAAATGACTAAAAATCTGCTTTTATGGTCTATGTTTACTACCATTGGATATATAAAAAGTTGAGTTATGGTGCTGATGGACTTTTGAGCTAATGGTTCTCACTCTGCTGTGAAGAAGTTAACGACAAAGAAGAAAAATACGGATGCTATCTTTGGCTCATTTATGCAACATTGGCCTTTGCAGACAACACCATTTATTATATATATATGCATTAAACAGTGTCATATTGCTTCACAGGGAGTTAAAAATTATGCAGTGTAAAATGCATATTAAAATCCCAGTGAAATAAGATTTTGCCGTCCCCAGTACTGCAAAATTTAAACTTATAAATGTCCATGTTTTAGCAAGGATGTTAAATTATGAGAACTCTCAAGCACTGCTTGTGAATGTCAATTTTTGCAATCTGTGGGATAGGGAGTAAGTATTAAGTTGAATGTATTCATTCTCTGTAATTCAGCAATTCAAGTATCATTTACGCTCATCATGGATATTGTTACACATTTCTACCTGGAGCCAATTCTAAGAATGTTCACAACAGTTTTGTCTGAATTAGCAGATAAAAACAAAACAAGACAAATCAGTTGTTCAAGAATAGAGGAATAGATAAATAAATTGCAGGTTATGCATAGCACAAAACACTAAAGAAAAAAATGAACTAAATGTTTTTATCCTAATATGAATCTCCAAAAATATAATTTTGAGAGAAGAAAACTATTTACAGAAGATTCAAGTTCAAAAGCAGGTAAAATTAGATAATATATTGTTTTAGAACTATATCTATATCTACATATTAATAGGATATATTCATATTTTATATATCAATATTTATATATTTACATTAATACTACTGATATAAAAATAAACAGGATATTTATAAATATGTAATTCAATGAGTAGTTACTTCTGAATGGGAGGAAGGGCATAGTTTGGGGAAGGAACCTTAATTCATTTAAAAAGAACACATAACATTCTATTTTATGAGGTTGGTGGTATAAAATAATTCATTTTATATGAGTCTTTAAGCTGCAGCCATATATATAATATCTGTTTTATTTTATATATGTTATAATTAAAATTATAAAACTCAATTTTGTGTTGAAAAACAAATATTATACTAAAAAAAGAAATAGTGAATTAGAAAATATGCTGGAAAATTCTCCAGACACCAGTGCAAAATGTTAAAATATGAAGATACTGTTCACTCTGATGGTAGTTTCTTTTCCTATGCAGAAGCTCTTTAGTTTAATTAGATCCCATTTGTCAATTTTGGCTTTTGTTGTCATTGCTTTTGGTGTTTTAGACATGAAGTCCTTGCCCGTGCCTATGTCCTGAATGGTAATGCCTAGGTTGTCTTCTAGGGTTTTTATGGTTTTAGGTCTAACATTTAAGTCTTTAATCCATCTTGAATTAATTTTTGTATAAAGTGTAAGGAAGGGATCCAGTTTCAGCTTTCTACTTATGGCTAGCCAGTTTTCCCAGCACCACTTATTAAAGAGGGAATCCTTTCCCCATTGCTTGTTTCTGTCAGGTTTGTCAAAGATCAGATAGTTGCAGATATGTGGCATTATTTCTGAGGGCTCTGTTATGGGAGAAAATTTTCACAACCTACTCATCTGACAAAGGGCTAATATCCAGAATCTACAATGAACTCAAACAAATTTACAAGAAAAAAACAAACAACCCCATCAAAAAGTGGTTGAAGGACATGAACAGACATTTCTCAAAAGAAGACATTTATGCAGCCAAAAAACACATGAAAAAATGCTCACCATCACTGGTCATCAGAGAAATGCAAATCAAAATCACAATGAGATATCATCTCACACCAGTTAGAATGGCAATCATTAAAACGTCAAGAAACAACAGGTGCTGGAGAGGATGTGGAGAAATAGGAACACTTTTACACTGTTGGTGGGACTGTAAACTAGTTCAACCATTGTGGAAGTCAGTGTGGCGATTCCTCAGGGATCTAGAACTAGAAATACCATTTGACCCAGCCATCCCAATACTGGGTATATACCCAAAGGACTATAAATCATGCTGCTATAAAGACACATGCACACCTATGTTTATTGCGGCACTATTCACAATAGCAAAGACTTGGAACCAATCCAAATGTCCAACAATGATAGACTGGATTAAGAAAATGTGGCACATATACACCATGGAATACTGTGCAGCCATAAAAAATGATGAGTTCATGTTCTTTGTAGGGACATGGATGAAATTGGAAATCATTCTCAGTAAACTATTGCAAGGACAAAAAACAAACACCGCATGTTCTCACTCATAGGTGGGAATTGAACAATGGGAACACGTGGACACAGGAAGGGGAACATCACACTCTGGGGACTGTTGTGGGGTGGGGGGAGGGGGGAGGGATGGCATTAGGAGATCTACCTAATGCTAAATGACGAGTTAATGGGTGCAGCACACCAGCATGGCACATGTATACTTATATAACTAGCATGCACATTGTGCACATGTACCCTAAAACTTAAAGTACAATAATAATAAAAAATATATAAAGATACTGTTTAAAATATGTAGATTACATGGAATAACCACATGTATATACAAGTGGAATTACAGAAGTTATGAAACAGTTATCAAATGAGTAATTTTAGGAAATCACTTTTTAAGAAAAACATAATTCAGATAATTATGCATCAATCACTGGTATGTATTGATTATCCAATGATTGCTAATTGACATAGGTGAAAACAAAATGATTTATAATACACTATAGTTAAATGTATGACATTTTAGGTTTGAAGTGTATAAACTTTCCCTTCATAGCTGTGCTGAGATGTGACCCTTATTATTGTTCTAGTAGCCGCATACTGAGAATAAATCAGAAGAAAATTAGCATTATTTTGCAAGAAAATAGCTTCAGGTGAGGTTACTGTAGATCTCCATCCAGACAATAAACAGCTGTCCTTTTCTGTAAATGAGGAAATGACTGATTGTATTTGCCCAGAGCCAGAATTTATTTTTTGAGACTTTCAGAGTCAACACCCAATGTTACTACCTCAATTACAGAGTCTTATTTTAGAGCCCATTTGTTAACATAACAAATTGTAGAATTATGACTCAGATTCAGACATCAACAAAATAGGACTTTTCAGTGCTTGCTCCCATGCCGAAATAGCAATTGGACATCTATCCATGCATGATAACCTTCACAAGAGCTAAGAAAACCAGGTGAGAGATTCCAGCAATTGGGCATAGCACAGAAATAATGAAACATGCATTGAAGAGGGCATGAAAGAGAATTTTATGTTACCTGTGTCACTTCTCTCCCAACCCTAGGCAGCACGGCTTGGAAAGAGATACCCTCTGCTTGGAGGGAAGAGAAGTAAGTGAGCACCAAACTTCTCCTTAGACAATACCAGGTCTGCTCCGGTAAAAGTCAGCATTGGTCAGGTCCACATGGCCCCAGACTTCAAGCTAACACCTATTGACAGGGCCCAGGCTTGCTGATGTGCCTGACTGCATCCCACAGCCCCAAGCTCCAGGCCAGCACAGCAGATTCAGTTTCAAGGTTTACCTCAGGACAAGGTTGGCCCCAGTGGCCGCAGGCTCCAAACTGTCCCCACTACTCAGCCGACCCTTACAACCCCAGGTTTCCGCCCCATTCCAATGCCAAATCAGTTCTCATGGCCTCAATCACCAGTCCAGCACCTATAAACTCTGGCCTTTGGCCTGCTCAGTAAGAAGTTGGTCCCTGCAACCCTATTCTCTAGGCCAACCTCTGTGGCCTTTAGCTCCAGCTGACACAGCATCCAGGCCTGTTGTAGCAGACACAGAGTCCTAGCCCAAACCAGAAGATCCCAATGCTTGGCCAGCTCCCAAGAACATATGCCCCAAAACCAACCTGTGGACCCAGGTTGCTGGTTGGCCCTGATGGCCTTTGGACTCAGACTGGCTACTGCATCTCTAGGACCTAGACCCACCCTCATGGATCTAGTCTCCACCATGAGACTCCCATACCCTGCCTCCAGGCTGACCCCATGACACAGGCTTTATGCCAATGACTGTGTCTCTAGGTACCGTGCCATCATGATTCCAGTCTTCAGAAATACTCCACAGACACAGGCTCCATGCCTTCCAAGCAGCAGGTCAGCCCCAGGCTCTGGGCTTGTTCTAGCGCCCCCAGGCTTCCGTGACCCCAGGGGCCAGGTCTATTCTAGCAGACCTAGGCACTGGGACTACCCACTAGACAGTAGAACCTGGATGGTCCCCACCAACCAAGGCTCCAGGATTACTCATTCAGACCCAGGCTCTAAGCCAGCTCCCTGGCTGCAAAACATAAGCCCACCTCTGTAGACCTCAGATCCAGGCCCACTCCAATATCAAGCCCATTCCCATGGATTTCAGGATCCAGGCTCAGCCCAGTGGACCAAGGTTCCAGGCTCAGGTGCTGGAATTAGCACCTCAATGGCTCCTGTAGATGCAAGTTAAACACCAGGTCAGCTCCTGTGGAATCTCCCTGGTCAGACTCCAGGTCAACAGGTCCTGGAGTCCAGTCTGGAGTGGATCCAGACTCCAGGCCAATGCCATGGACCCAGTTGCCAGATCTGTTGACCTGCTGACTCAAGAACCAGAAGTCTACCTGAGGAATCCACAGCAAGTCCACCTGCAGAACATGCAAAACAGCCTAGTCAGAATCTCTGAATAGGTTGACTGGTCAAGCCTTTCTCAGACAAAGCCACTCTTCAAAGACTGAAATAAATCTCTACTTCCTCAAATGCACAGACAACAATGCATGGTCACAAGTATCAAGAACAACCAGGGAAACATGACATTACAATAAATAAATACATAACTAACTAACTAAATAAATAAATAAATAACAAATACAAATGCTAGTAGCTAACTCTAAAATAATGGAGATGTCTGAACTGCCTGAGAAATAATTTGATATAATTTTAACAAGATGGGTGAACTTCTAGAAAATACTGAGAAATAATTCAACAAAATCAAGAAAACAATACATGACCAAACAAGAAATTTAACGGATTGAATTTGAAAAAAAGAACAAACAAATTATGGAGCTGAAAAATAAAATGAACAAAAGAAAAAATGCAAAAGAAAAACATTAACAAAAGGATTGATCAAACAGAGAATCTGTGAACTTGAAGGCAGGTTATTTGAAAATATACAGTCAGTTAAAAATAAAGGGAAAAATGAAAAGGAATGGAAAAAGCTTACAGGACATATGGGACATCATCAAAAAAGCAAATTTGTAACTTGTAGGAGTTGGAGGGAAAGAGAGAGAAAGACATAAAACTCATTTAAAAAATAATAGCAGAATATATTCCAAATGTAGGGAAAGCTATAAATATTCAAGTACAGGAAAGGGAAAAGTCTCCAATTAGATGCAATCCAAACAAGATGATGCAAAGATATAATTAATATGTCTAAAATCAAAGACTGAAAATCCCATATTAGAAAGAATTTAGTAAGACCAGCAACAAATTTCTCAGCAGAAACCTCACAGGTCTGAAGATAGTGGGATGATAGATTTAAGTGCTGAAGGAAACACACAGACACACAGACACACAGACACACACACACACACACACACACACACACACACACACACACACACCCCAAACTACCGACCCAGAATAACTTACCCAACAAAGCTATCCCTTCAGAAATGAAGGAGAGAGAAGCTGAGGGACTTCACCATGACCAGATTAGTTTACAACAAATGCTAAAGAGAGTTCTTCAACTGAAAGAAAAAAGCACTAACTAGTAACATGAAAACATATGAAAGTATAAAACTCACTATTTAAAGTAAGTATATAGCCAAATTTAGAATACACCTGGACTATAACGATGATGTGTAAATCACTGATATCTTTAGTTAGGTTTAATGACAAAAGTATTAAAATAATAGTTATGATAATTTGTTTAGGGACATATAATAGACAATGATGTAAATCATGACACCAAAAACAAAAAATGTGAAGTGTAAATTGAATAAAAAGACTCACTTCATGTGAGTGATGTTATGTTTTTATCAGCTTAAGATACCCTATTATAACTATAAGATGTTTTATGCAAACCTCATCATAACCACAATGCAAAAACCTGTAGTAGATACATAGAAGATGAAAAAGAAAAAAATCAAACTATACAACTAGGGAGAAATCACCTAATCACAAAGGAAGACAATAAGAGAGGAAAAAGGAACCAAGGATCTACAATACAACCAGAAACTATTTTTAAAATGGCAGTAGGTAAGTTGTTATCTACCAACAAATACCTCAAATATAAATAGATTAGATTATCCAGTCAAAAGACATGACATAGAGTGTCTGAATGGATGAAAAAGAAAGAAAAAGAAAAAAAAAAAAAACAAAACAAGACCCATCTAAAAGAAAAATACCAAGACCCATCTATCTTCTGCCTATAAGAGACACACTTCACCTATAAGGAAACATATACATTTTAAAATATGGGCCCTTTCACTGTGTATATTCCTATTGTGTTGCTTTTTTATTTTTCCTAAGACTCCAATTATGTAAGTATTGAATCTTCTTTGACTGTTGACATTTCACTTATTTTTTGTCTACCCTTTTCCTTTCTTTCCTTATTTTTCATTTTCTTGATTGTTTTCCTAATTATTTTTGGTATACTTTATTAAATTTATATTTGTGTTTAGTCTCCCTTTTCTACTTTGTAACTGTGTCCTGATTTCTCAAATGGACTATTTCTTCAATTTGTTTATTAAGTCTGCCCAACATTGTTTAGGTATAAGCCCTTTTTGTCTATTTATATTTTATTCAAAATGTTTAATTCAAGATATTTTTAATACTTAAAAATGCTTGTTAAATTATATTTAATTTAATCTGAAGTGTTATGGTATAATTTCCTTCTGCCCGTTTTTGTATCATTATATTCTCATTGGTTGGAATATTTTGATCTTATTTGCTGACTCCCTTCCCACCCTTGTAGTTCATTGCATGGATAGAGACATTTTTGTGTGCTATTATAGTGTGTATGTGTCCCTGTGTGAGTTCCTGTGTATGTAGAAAGATAGGTATATATGTAGTTTGATTGATTGATTTATACATAGATGTCTATATATAGGTAGATAAATGCAGTCAGCCATACTGTCTATGAGTTCCACATCTGTGTATTTAATTAGCTGTAGATCAAAAATATTCAAGAATAAAATTGCCTCTGCACTGAACATGTATAGATGTTTTTTTCTCAGCATTCTTTTCTTTTTTTAAAATTTTTATTATACTTTAAATTTTAGGATACATGTGCACAACGTGCAGGTTTGTTACATATGGATACGTGTGCCATGTTGGTGTGCTGCACCCATTAACTGGTCATTTAGCATTAGGTATATCTCCTAATGCTATCTCTCCCCCCCTCCTCCCACCCCACAACAGGCCCTGGTGTGTGATGTTCCCCTTCCTGTGTCCATGTGTTCTCATTGTTCAATTCCCACCTATGAGTGAGAACATGCGGTGTTTGGTT
This sequence comes from Homo sapiens, assembly GCF_000001405.40. NCBI lineage: Eukaryota > Metazoa > Chordata > Mammalia > Primates > Hominidae > Homo > Homo sapiens. Next base: position 55,705,580 of record NC_000011.10, read on the forward strand.
TCTTGTCCTTGAGATAGTTTGCTGAGAATGATGGTTTCCAGCTTCATCCATGTCCCTACAAAGGACATGAACTCATCATTTTTTATGGCTGCATAGTATTCCATGGTGTATATGTGCCACATTTTCTTAATCCAGTCTATCATTGTTGGACATTTGGGTTCATTCCAAGTCTTTGCTATTGTGAATAGTGCCACAATAAACATACGTGTGCATGTGTCTTTATAGCAGCATGATTTATAATCCTTTGGGTATATACCCAGTAATGGGATGGCTGGGTTGAATGGTATTTCTAGTTCTAGATCCCTGAGGAATCGCCACACGTGTGCTGGAGAGGATGTGGAGAAATAGGAACACTTTTACACTGTTGGTGGGACTGTAAACTAGTTCAACCATTGTGGAAGTCGGTGTGGCGATTTCTCAGCATTATTTTCTAAACAATACAGTAGAATAACTATTTAGATAGTATTAGATGTTATAAGTAATCTAGAGATAATTTATAGCATAGCCAAAGATATGCATAGGTTATATGCAAATACTATGCTATTTTATATCAGAAACTTGAGCATCTGCAGATTTTCATAACCCTGGAGGTCATGAAACCAATCCCCCATGAATACCGAGGGACAACTCTACATATACACACACATATAGCTGTGTATATCTCTATATCTAAATACATAAAAATACACAAAAATATTTATAAAATATTACCTCCAACAAACTTTGTTGTAGTGAGTGTGTGTGTGTGTGTTTTGTTTTAGGAGAATACTCAATTTACTTGCATTACTTCCTCTTTCTTAACCATTACAACTCTACAGGGCAATGTCTTTATTCTACTCTCCTCCTTTTCCCTGGAAATAACTTTTCTAGGTTTTTCACAACAAGTTTTATACAATAGCTCGGCTTTTTTTCCCTAGGTAATGCTGTTTTCTATCAGGCCTTGACTCGGTTTTTAATTTTTGTTATGACAGTAGAATTTTCTTATTGATTTTATCCATTTGATCCCACTAGTAGGATTTCTATTTCCCTTTTCTCTTTTCTAAGCTGTCTCTTCAGACTTCACTCTACCCACATGGAATTATGACATTTTCAAATTCAGTTCTTTTCTTCTGAAAAATATTTCTCTACCTATAGTCAACTTTCACTTCATAGGGTCATCTGTCTTAAAGTGATGCACAAATGTGTGATTCATTTATTTACTTTCTTTGATCTGAATGGTTTTTGGGAGGATAGATACAAAGAGTAACTTTTAAGTGCTGTTATTAGCTTAAAGCCTTTTTCTATGTCTTTTCTATGGAATTTCTTATTTATCTTCATTTCATTGATATAGATATACACTACCATAAAATGTATTCTGGTAATTGTCCTATGTATACCTTCTATAATAATTTTGCTGTTGTGGTCTGGATCATCCCTGTATTATTTTTAATGGCAAGGTTTTACATTCTTAAATGAAATGTCTTATTGTTTAGTAAAATATTGTTATTAATTATTGCTTTTCTCCTGTCTTCATGGAATTCTATTTGCATATTTTTCAACTTTTGTTGACTTTATAGTTTTTAATATGTTAAAATATAGTCATGTTTTATGACTGCTCATGTGTATGTGAAAACTGTATTCTTATTACTGGTATCACTCTGCCCTCTAGTGGGTATTCTGTTTTTGCCACTTGCAACAGAAAAATTTATTCCCTCAGCTACTATTCAGGAGGTGGATTTTGTACTACTAGACTATATGAAAACAAATTCTACCAATTACAATTGGCTAAGAATTATACAACAATTAGACAATAATTGACTTGTAATATTGATGAAAAGTAAAATATTTTGTTCTCATTATGTCAAACTAGGATAAAATTTAAAAAAATTTCTTCATGCAAGAAAGAATATTGGACTAAGATTTATTTGTCAACCTCTTATATAATTTGGTAGGTTTCCTTGGAAAATCATTGAAATATTCAAGTTTTGGTTAACCATTTGTAATATTTTTGAAAACCTTACAAACACATTTGGAAATTCTTTGAGAATTAAATGGTGTAAAAGTTTGATTTGTAAACATATACTTTTGCAAAATGTAAAGGAAAATGCAAAATGCAAACAGTATGTGACATATAGGTATACTTAATGCACGTTGTGCACATGTACCCTAAAACTTAAAGTATAATAATAATAAAATTTAAAAAAATGTGTATGCGGTTTATGCATAATATATGTATATGTTTCTGTATTGCTTGATTCTTCTCTGTATGTATATATGTCTGTCCTGTATCAGCGAGCTATCTATCTACCTATCCATCATCCGTCACCCATCTGTATTTAAATTAGTGCTTCCCTTAAGCCTTCTGTTTCAAACATCAGGCATAAAGAGGATTTTGTTGCTCAGAGGCAATAGCTCTGCATTTATTTCTCCCCAAGTCCCTGGTAAGCACTAATTTTTTTGTCTCTGTAATTTGATGTTTCTAGGTACCTCTTATACATAGTATATTACAATATTTGCCTTTTGTGTCTGTCTTATTTCACTTAACTTAATGTTTTCATGGTTCATGCATGTTGAATTATCTCTCCATGGAGAGCTCTACTTTGAGCTACTGTGAATAATACTGTGAATAATACTGGGAAGAACATTGGTACACAAAAAATATGTTTGAATCTCTGCTCTCAATTATTTGAGTATCTATTGGAAGTGTAATTGCTGGGTCATGTGTATTTTCACGTCTAATTATTGGAGGAACTACCATAGGTTTTTGTAGAGCAGCTTCACCATTTTACATTCTCACCAGTAATATTCAAGGAGTCCAATTCATTCCATCTCCCCTGAATCCTGTTATTTTCCAACTTTTCCTTCTTTTTCTTTGTTTGTTTTTTCTTTTTCATAATTGCCATCCTAAAGGGTGTGAGGTGGTAGCTGTTTTGTTTACTTATTTGTTTGTGTGTGTGTGTGTTATTATTGTCATAAGACCAAATACATGAGCTCAAACGTTCAACAGAATTTTAATTTTATGCAGTATGGTTTTAAAAAAAAAAACTAAAAGCACAATGTTGTACAGCAGAACTCTAGAACTCTAGAATCTGTTCGTCTTAAATAAAGGAGCTGCTGTTCATTGTGGTTTTGATTTGCATATCCCCAATTAGTAGTGCTGGACATGTTTCCACATGCTTATTGGCATGTGTGTAGCTTCTTTGAAGACATGTGTATTCAAGTTCTTTGCCTGTTTTTGAATTGGGCTGTTTTTGTTTTGTAGATTTATAGGAGTTTTTAAAATATATATATTCTGTACATTAATCACTTAGAAATATGATTTCAAAAGATTTTATCCTATATTTTGGGCTGCCATTTTACTCTGTTAGGAGTGTTCTTTGAAGTTTTTAGTTTTTAATTTTGATGAAGTCCATTATATATATATGTATGTATGTATATACATATATTATATACATATATACACATTATATATACATGTGTATATATACATATATATGTATACGTACATGTATACATACATGTACGTATACATGTACATATACATGTACATACATATATTATATACATATATATGTATGTAAATACTTTTGGTGTCATATACAATAAATAATTAACAAAGTCAGTGTCATGAAGTTTTTTTTCTAGGTCTTCCCCTGGCAAGGTTTGCATCTGTATCCCCACAAAATCTCATGTAACACCCCAGTGTTGGAGGTGGGACCTGGTGGTAGGTGATTGAATCGTGGGGGCGGTTTCTCATGAATGGTTTAGCACCATCCTCTTGGTGCTGTTCTTGTGACATTGAGTGAGTGAGGTCTCATGAGATCTGGTTATCTAAAAGTGTGTAGCACCCCCCTGCCACCCCATCTCTTCCTCTTGCTTCAGCCACGTAAGATGTGCCTGCTTCCCCTTCACCTTTCACCATAATTGTAAGTTTCCTGAGGCCTCCTCAGAAGCCAAGAAGATGCCATCATCATGCTTCCTGTACAGCTTGCAGAACCATGAGCCAACTGAACCACTTTTCTTTATAAATTACCCAGTCTCAGGTATTTCTTTACAGCAGTGTGAGAACTGACTCATGTATATCCTAAGAGTTGTATAGTTTTGGCTCTTACCTTTAGGTCTTTAATCCATTTTAAGTTAATTTTTTGTTCATTGTGTAAGATAAGGGTTCAAATTTCTCTGGCAGGAGGCTAGTTTTCTCAATACCATCTGTTAAAAAGACTGAACTCTTCCTATTGAATAATCTTGGCACTGATGTGTAATACATTTGACCATATATATGTACGTTTACTTCTGGGTTGTCTATTCTATTCTATTAGTCTATATAACTTTCTTTATAACAGTACTTTACTGCTTTGATTACTATAGTTCTGTGGTAAGTATGAAATCAGAAAGTGTGAAACCTCAAACTTTGTTTTCCTTTTTCAAGATTGTTTTGGCCTTTTAGGGTCTCATGTAATTCTGTCTAGATTTTAGAATGGATTTTTCTATTAAAAATGTCATTAGGATTTTGATAGAGTTTTCACTGTATTTGTAATTGCTATGGGGAGTATTGGCATCTTAAAATATAAAGCCTTCAAATCTATGAACATGAGATGACTTTTCCTTTATTTATGTCCTCTTTAATTTCTGTCAGCAACATTTTATGCTTTCCAGTGTATTATTCTTTTGTCTGTTTGGCTAAGTTTATTCCTGAGTATTTCATTGTTTTTGAAGCAAATGCAAATAACTTGTTTTCTTAATTTTTTGGGGTGGGGCTTGTTTTTTGCAAGTATAGAAATGCAACAGATTTTTGTACGTTTAATTTGTATCCTGCAATTTTTCTGGATTTGTTTATTAGTTCTAGGAGTTATATTTGGGTAAGGGTGTTTGGAATCTTTAGGATTTTCTATATATAAGATATGTCGGCTGGGTATGGTGGCTCACGCCTGTAATCCCAGCACTTTGGGAGGCTGAGGCGGGTGGATCACCTGAAGTCAGGAGTTCAAGACCAGCCTGGTCAACATGGTGAAGCCCTGTCTCTACTAAAAATACAAAAAGTGAACCGGCCATGGTGGTGGGCACCTGTAATCCCAGCTATTCAGAAGGCTGAGGCAGGAGAATCACTTGAACATGGGAGGCAGAGGTTGCATTGAGCCAAGGTTGTGCCATTGCACTCCAGCCTGGGCAACAAGAGTGAAACTCTGTAAAAAATAAAAATAAAAAAAATGAAAAAAAGTCATCTGCTAAAATTCTGATTTTCTTCTGTCAAATTTGGATGATTTTAAAAAACTTTTCTTGCCTAATTGCTCTGGCTAGAACCTTTAAAACGATTTTGAATGAAAGTGGTGAAAGAAAACATCCTTGTCTTATTCTTGAACTTTGAGGAAAATCTTTCAGTCTTTCCACCTTTGAGTATTAATTAGCATAGGTTTTTCATATATCGCTGGCCTTAATATACTGAAGATGTTTTCTCTATTCTTAGTTTTTTTAGTGGTTTTATTATGAAAGAGTGTGCACTTTTGTCAAATCGCTTTTCTGCACTAATTGAGAAGATCAGGTATTTTTTCATTTACACTGTTAATGTGGTGTATTATACTGATTAATTTTAATGTGGTAAATTGTACTATACTTGCATTCCAGGAATAAATTCCACTTGCCATGTGTTTAATTTTAATGTCTTTTTACATGCTGTTGAGTACAGTTTGTAGTATTCTCTTGAGGAATTTTTGCATCTCTATTTGTAATGAAATTAACAATGAATTTCGAGAATCACTGAACTACATATCTAATAAATTAAAAAATAATGCATATCACATTTACTTAAAGAAAAGTCGAACAGGTATTTATATAAGTTGAATAAACATTTGCTACCTAAAATGAAGCTCACAGTGCAATGTTATATAAAAAGGATAATATAAAATATAGCTATGATATTTATTATATAAGCTTTGTATCAGATACACACTAATACATACATACACACATGGGAGTGAGAAAACTTGAAATAAAGAAACAATTGAGAGTATTTATCTCTGGATTGTTGCCCAATGGCTGTTTTTTTTTCTTTTGTACATTTTTGTATTTTCAGGTATTTTAAATTAAAATATATTGTGTGGTTCAACATATTTAAGTTTATGATGAAATTATTCACCAGTTATTACAAGAAATTACATGCAACCAGGATATCACATGGGGCATTGTTTTATGTAATTGCTTTATTTGTGGCCTCTTAGGCAATACTTCAATTATATTCTCTAGGGTTAACATCCCTAAGGCCTTTGTGGCATATATATTTGTGACACAGTTTGGTGTCAGGATTCAGTCTTTTGGTAACATTTTTCTCTCTGTTATCACTGAGTTTATTTGAAAAAATCAGGGGAAAAAAGTCATTTTCTTGAAACATTTATTGAAATATATTACAAACTCCTGCCTGCCACTTTTATTGTGATTTGCTTTTTTTTTTTTTTTTTTCAGTTCTCCACAAGAACTTTCCTGGAGTCCGTTAATCTTTGCAAAAGAAGCGTTAGTAAATGAATGAATAAGTCAATTTATTCTGTACTTAAGTGAGTTATTCAATTCTTACTTTATATAACTTTAGAAGGAAAAGAGTGTGTTCCAACAATCTTTGCAGGAGGCAAACCCATATGTAAATCTAACTGCCGTTCCGTTAACTAGGAATATTATCTTTCACCATATTTATTATTATTAATTTGCCTGTATTCTTTTTATCACAATATTCTTCTTCTTTTTATGGGCACAAACTTTAGTTTTAATAAGTAATAAGAATTGTATGCTATGTTGTATAATTTGCAATTACATGCATTATGCCTCGGAATAATTCTTAGAAAAACAGTTTTGAGGTCAAGGCCAATATTTTATAATTTTACAGTTTCTAAAATGCCTATTACAGTGCTGAGTGCATAGCAAATGCACAATCGGATAGCCATGCTGGGTGTCACTACAAAAGAGGGAAAGCCTGTGCACGGCACCTTGAGCCCTCATTCAGCTCAAAAAGGGTGACACTTCCTGGGGCTAAATGGGAGATTGTGAACTTTGGCCCCAAGTCTTTCAGTCAAGAAATAAGAGTGTAGGAAGTGGGTTCAAAAGTGCCACACATAGAAAAGATGTTTGGGTAACAATAAGTCGAATATATATTATAAAATACATATCTTTGATGGAAATGATTTTCTTTTCAGGCCCAGTCTGCTCAGAGTTTGTTAGAACATCCTTAGGAAAGAATACAGATATTGGAAAATGCTTGAAAAAGTATGTTCAGTTAGGAAATTTGCACTCAATGAGTTTTGTGTCAAACTAAAACATAAGTTTAGAAAATAACAACAAATGTAGACGGTCAAATCACAGGTGTCAAATGAAGTGAATTTAAAGGAGCAATTAAAGAAAGAAACTGCATGGATATGTAAGTTGTACATAAAATACTTTTATATGTAACCCTAACCCTAACCTATATAAAACCTATATAATTTTCTCTATATATAATCATATATATATATATATATATATATATATATATACACTGCATGCACTTATGTTTTCTGCAAAATATAAGTGCGTGCAGTATATTCTCTTGGAGACTAAACATTGTAACAACTCAGTGTAAACTATAGAGTGCTTAATTTCACCTAATGATAAAGCATAGAATTTTTACAGAATGCTGTGTGGAATGGTGTTCTTTCTATGCCTACTGCTATTTTAGCTTTCGGTAAGCAGTCATGACATGGTTCTGGATTAAACTGGCACAAAACAGTAATTGAGTTATTTTGAATGAACTCAGAACATTTTTTAAAAATCCAATACCTCATTTTCCCTTCTAACTCTCCTTGTTTTATTCTAATTCAAGATGCTTAGGTCCCATGGGGTTTCACTATAGCTACTTGTTCTGTAGGACTCCAGGTGTGCCTCAGTGCATTGTGAGTTTACAATGTGGTCCTGATTTAATAGGCAAGTCCAGCTTCTTTAGTATTATTATAAACTTTTACCCCAATACATGTATAATATGTGGCTAGATTTATTCACTCACATATACATTCATTTATTCAATCAAGATTGTTGAGAATCTACTATGTCCTAGCCTTCCATATTTGCCCTCATTAATATTATTTTATTGTAGAACAACAATTTGTTGAAATGGCAAAGAAGAAAACATGAGTAAAATATATATTATATTACAGATGTTGCATAATATTGATATTTTTCAGGGCTTATAGTTACTGATAATGACATAACTACTATGACCATGATGAATGAGTCAAGTTGAGATAAAATTATTGGAAAAGATGAAGAAACTAAAAGTATAGGATATAAGAAAGATTATCTGTGTCTCTATTGTAAGCAATTCAATGCAAACAAAACAAAACAAAAATGTCCTAACCAAATAAAAACCATTGTAATTCTTCAGGAAGTGATGTCTCATCTTTGAAGATTTGGAGAACTGAATTTTGACCACCTGAGAATGTTGTGGCAGAAAGTACTTCAGAATAATAAAAATGATCTGGATGTATTATTATTGTTTGCTCCCAAACCAAATCATTCTAAATATCTGATATTATAATATATCAAGAAAAGGAAACAGATTTTTTCAATAATTATATAAATGTGGCTGATCAAGTGCATCATTCACATTATACAGGAAGGATCTGAAATATGTGGAGATAAATGTGTGATTAAATGTAGGGAGGTCATTGGAAAGGGAAATTCAGAAATAGCTATAGAAACAACTGTTACAAAAATGTAATGATCATTTTACTCCATCATTAATTTCCTTTTTAGAGTTCCAAGTTCTCATCATTTAATAGGTGAAGAAGTGAAAAAATTACCGAAACTCAAAATAAGCATTGTATTGAAATGAAATAAAATGGAAATGCTTATCTTCCTCCAAGATAAGCGTTTTCACTAAACTCTGACTCATGCAAAAGGTAGACTGGCCCTTCTCGTGAAGCCAGTTGCGTCTGAGGCTACTGAACCGGATGGTTTAAAATATACCAGAGCCAACGGCACTTTTGTTCTTCCTCTCTCAGTTCCCATATTTTATTATTACATTGACATACATTTTATATGCACTGTATAATTGTGATATTAGCAAATTCTAGCTTTTGAAACAATGTAATTGTTGAAACTAAGCATATCCATAAGTCTTTTTATAAATAATCACTAAACCTCTCAACATTTCCTCATTTTACTTGGCCTTGTCCAAATATTTCTTCTTGAATCTCTGAATCAACTTCCCTATTTTGTCCCAGGGACCAAGAAAATCAGACTTCTGAAGTCACCTTCATCCTCTTGGGCTTCTCAGAATATCCAGACCTTCAGACGCCCCTGTTCCTGGTGTTCCTGACCATCTACACAGTCACTGTGCTGGGGAATCTGGGCATGATCATAGTCATCAGGATCAGCCCCAAACTCCACACCCCCATGTGCTTTTTCCTCAGCCACTTGTCCTTTGTTGATTTCTGTTATTCCACCACAATTACACCCAAACTGCTGGAGAACTTGGTTGTGGAAGATAGAACTATCTCCTTCACAGGATGCACCATGCAGTTATTCTTTGTCTGCATATTTGTAGTAACAGAAACATTCATGCTGGCAGTGATGGCCTATGACCGATATGTGGCGGTGTGTAACCCTCTTCTCTACACAGTTGCAATGTACCAGAGGCTTTGCTCCTTGTTAGTGGCTACATCATACTGTTGGGGGATAGTCTGTTCCCTGACACTTACCTAGTTTCTACTGGAATTATCCTTCAGAGGAAATAATATCATTAATAACTTTGTCTGTGAGCACGCTGCCATTGTTGCTGTGTCTTGCTCTGACCCCTGTGTGAGCCAGGAGATCACTTTAGTTTCTGCCACATTCAATGAAATAAGCAGCCTGCTTCCTATGCTTTCATTTTTATCACTGTCATGAAGACGCCTTCCACTGGGGGGCGCAAGAAAGCGTTCTCCACGTCTGCCTCCCACTTGACGGCCATTACCATTTTCCATGGGACTATCCTTTTCCTCTACTGTGTTCCTAACTCCAAAAGTTCGTGGCTCATGGTCAAGGTGGCCTCTGTCTTTTACACAGTGGTCATTCCCATGCTGAACCCCTTGATCTATAGCCTCAGGAACAAAGATGTAAAAGAGACAGTTAGGAGGTTACTCATTACCAAATTATTATGTCTCATATTATAAAATCTAGAAGTCGTACTTATTCCTATTGAAGAATATTGTGCAGAACTGCCCAAAAGTTGTAGAATTGCTAACAATCCAAATCCCTTTTTCAAACAGTAAAGCAGTGCATGTACTTAATGTAACCCCTACTTAACTGGTTATTTGACATCTGTTCAAATTCTAGTAGATTAGCTAACAAGTAACACAGTAATTTAATCTCTAATGATTTAACTTATCATTAAACTCAGAATTTGTCATGTAAAGATTTCTGAGTTAATATACATTACCCTATTGTTGCTCAGTTAACCTTCTGTTCTTTTTCAGTTGTTGGAGAATGGGCTTGTAGATTTGTTCTGAAAAATTATAGCTTACCATGAAGGAAGATATAGCAAATGCAATACAGTAAACTAAGACATGTTCAGCACTCAGACACTAAGTTTAAAAGTAATATTTATTTAATTCCACATAGGGCACATTGGTATATTATAAATGTGTATAAGGCGTAAGTCTGCCCACAAAGTCCAGAATATGGTTTGGTAAAATTGTATTGGTTAACATAAAATTTTATTTGATCATTGTACACAATATATCAAAAAATGAAAATAGCCACATATTTTAGAAATAGACATTTTGAAATCTGAATTTGTCATTCACTACAATCTTGATTTTCATATAAGTTATAAATTTGATCCATAACAGAATACCATAAATGTCAGTGATACATAACATTAGGTAATTATTAATTTTTTGTCAATTGATTTGGCAGTCCTGATAGTATCAGCTGGTGCATCTTGGTTAATATTATCTAGTCTAACGGGTCTAACGGGAACTCATAGACCTACATAACGATTGAGTAGCTCTGCCTCTGTATCTATGGTCCTCTGAACCATTGGGCTAGCTGGAGTATTTTCTTCCAGTGTTGATGGGTGAGTCACAAGGGGAAATGTACAACAAAAGCTAGTTCAAGCTTCCATTCGCCTCATGTTTTTTAGCATTATTTTAGGCAAAGAGAATCACATTGCTGGGCTCAAAGTTAATGACTGAGGAAGGATATCTGCCTCTTATTGTAGAATTGAAAAGTTACGTGGCAAATAATGTAGATACACAGAGGAATGAAGGATTCTGCCTACTATTTCTATATATCTAAATTGTTGGGAAATTTTAGTTAATGGGAAATTATCCTTCTTATTCCAGATAAATTTTTGTCCTAGTTTGACAAAAGTCTTCTGTAAATTGATGAGAAATTTAATCGACTTAACTAAATGACTGTTTTTGTTGATTGTCACTTGCTGTTGATAGTTAATGTTTAAGAGGAAAGACAAAGTCTTGGTAAATTTCCATATATCATGGTTCCTGTATTCCTGACTCTCATGTTCAAATAAAAATGGCAATTTCCTTTGTTATAAAGTTTATTATAAAACTATTTAACCTAATCCATTTATCTGATTGTTTAGCAATACATAAAAATATTTTTTAACAAATCATATTATATAACTATAGTATTGCATAACTTATTTAACTTCTAATTGTTCATCAAACAGAGGACATATACACTTAAGTAAATGTTCCAGTCAAGTACATTAATAGGTTTTGTGTATGTTAACAAAAACATTTTAAGAAAAAAGAAAAATGCATTTAGAGAATGTGAAAACAGTATAAAATGAACTATACTTGGCACATTCTAAAGGTCCTTGGATTTAAAATCCTATTTGAAAAAAAAAAGATAGATATTAGGTAAATTATAATTTGTAAACTATAATTAGCTTTCTATATTGTAGGAGAAAACAAAACAATAACTTTGAAGAAAACGGGTTTATTACAGTAAGATGGCTGTGAACATTTCTGTCGGAATCTTTGTAAAGGCACATACAGCACTTTTATTTCCTTTTACAAGTACCTAGGAAAGATAGCCGAGTCATATGGTAGGTGTACATTTAATTTCTTAAGAAGCTTCCAAATGATCTTTAAAGTGGCTGTACCATTTAAAATCCTCCTAGCTGGGTATGATACTTCTGATTGTTCCCCATCTTGGACAAATAACTATATGGTCATTATTTTCAATCTTAGAAATTCTTACAAGTATGTAATGGTATCTTATTGGATTTGTGTTTGCATTCATCTGATAAGTAATTAAGTTGAATATATTTTCATGTGATTATTGGTTATTTGTATTTTTTTGATAAAGTCTATGTTCAAATACTCTGCCTATTTTTAATTGCAATTCTTTTCTTATTATTGGGGCTTGATAATTATTTATATATTGTAGATACAACTCTTTTTTCTCCTCAAATGTGTGATTTGAAATATTTCTTTGAATATGTGGCTTATCTTTCACCCTCTTTAGAGTGTGTTTTGAAAAACAGATATTCTGGATTTGTGTAATAATGTATATAGAAATGCAAAGTAAGTGAAATATCCAAAAATATTTTTAAAAGAGAATGATTGGAGGAATTGAAGGTTTACTGTAAAACAAAAGGAAACAAACCAGTATGGTTTAGGTATAAAGACAGACAAATTGAGACTATAATAGAATAAATAAAATAGAATCCAGATATAATCCAAGAAACATATAATCAATTGATCTTTGAAAACATATCTGAAAAAAACTGGATAATTGAATGGGGGAAAATAACCTCATTTCCTACCTCTCTCCATAGAAAATTAATTCGATATTTATTATCAAATTAATTAACCATAACAGCTGAAACACTAAGGCCTCTGGAATAAAGAACAGGTGATTATCTATATGAAAATCGACAAATGAGACTGTCAATAATTAAAAACTGCCTATCATCAAATTAGATCATTATAAAAAGAAGAGACAACCCATAGATTAGAAGTAATTACCTGTAGACTGGGAGTGTATATTAACAATATATAGAGTTGTCAATTACTAAATATATATATATAACAAATAATAAGAAAATTAAATTAAAATAGACTAATGTGCAATTACTTTGTAAAAATATATAGATGGATAATAATCTCACAAAAATATTCCAACAATATATGTTTTCAAGGGAATGTAAATTAAATATCACTATGATTGCTTGAAGTTTCAAAATAATGAATTTTTTTAAAAGGCACAAATACTAGTTTTCAAAAGTTTTCATTCCCTGTGGTCACATCATCTACTAAAATATCGCTTTCCAAAACTTTTAGATATATATTTTGAAGTGTTCTCTCTAGCTTTTTTTATGTTCTCTATATCTCTATCTTTGCTGCAAGTTGTATCAGTTCCTCACAGATGTCACAAAATTTATTAAGTTTCTGTAATAGCTTTTTGGCCTTAGAAACACCTTTCATAGTCTGGTGAAGCATATGAGATCTTCTTTAGAAAAACATTTAAAAATAAAATGGATATAAATGTAAATCAAACATATTATATTTCTATAAAATTACCAAATATTAAAAATATTAACTTTATGGACTTGTATAATATTTGTGCTTTATTATTCATATTAGATAATATCTACATACATGCACATTAACTATTATAATTTGGAATAAGGATGATCATAGTAATATTTTTAGGTAGGTTATAATATATAAATAATAAAAATATATCTGTGATTTCTATGGTTAGAGTATTGCTAACAGTACTGTGGTTTGTGGTCTACCTTCATAATTAAAAACACACTAAATTTCAGTTAGAGTTAAACAAAAATAATTATGAGTTTTTTCCATATTATTTCATCATAAACTAGCAGATCATTTAAAATACGTTGTACACTACGTTGTATAACAGATCTGTAGAACTTATTCATGTTGCATAACTGAAAATGCGTACCCCTTGAGCAACAGCTCCCAATTTCCTCCTCCCCCTAGACCCTGGTAAACACCTTTCTACTCTCTGCTCCTATGAGTTTGGCTCTTTTAGATACTTCATATAAGTAGAATCATAATAGTGTAGGACATTTTCTTGACTCTTTCACAGGTCTTGCAACGGGGGTGCCTTGTTTACTCAGTCTGCCCTGCTCAACCCCTTGCTGAAGGGAGCCTGAGAGTGAACCAGTACAGGAACTGGAGTGGGCAAGTGCAGAACCAGCTGCTTTGGTGCCAGCAGGAGCAAACTCCATGTGAGCCGCAGGGCAGTGTCCAGGGGCCGTGCCCGTGACCCCCAGGCCCCAGAGGGTGTGTTAAAATGCTTCCTTAGCTGTGCTTTCTGCAGACAGCCATGTGTTACCAGCTCAACGGGCCCTTTGCCTCATCACATGAGGAAATTGCCTTCCACCAGTAAGGGCAAAGGGCCAGGGTGACAAACCTTTTAGGTATCCACATCTGGTGCATCCTGAATTTTTGTCTGGTGCCCAAGACGAATGAGGTCATGTGGACGAATTGAAAGATGGTGAATGTGGAGAATTTTATTGAATGATGAAAGCTGCTCTCAGTGGAGAGGGAGGAGCTGGAAAGGGGATGGGAAGGGAAGGTTGCTCTCCCCTGAAGTCAATCCACCTTTCTGACTTTCTTTTCCAAAGTCAAGTTGCTTCATCCAGCCACTGTCTTTGAAGTCAAAGTCACCTCTCTCTGACATCCAGCCACTTCTTCCTGAGGTTCAGCCACTTTTCTTCTCTGCTAGCTGGGTCTGGGGTCTTACAGGCACAGGATGGGGGTGGGGTGAGCCATAGGTAGTTTTGGAAAAGACAACATTCAACTGGTAAAAAGACGTTATTCAGAAAGAACCAATCAGGGGAGAGCAGACACATAGGGATGGAAGTTCTCACTTAGGGCCACGGGTTTCAGGCTGTTTAGCTTGAAGGTGGGGTTTTGCCAAAGACCTGCCCTTGTCTGCCTAGAATTTCTCTGCCTCCTGTCATTATCAATAACATATTAGTACTTCTGTTGCTCATTTATCTAATTTAGCATAAGGCCCTCTAGGTTAATTTCTGTTATCACATATAGCAGGATTCGCTTCTTTTTAAAGCTGAATAATATTCCATTTTATGTATATACCAGATTTTTTGTGTCCATTCGTCTGTCAATGGGCTTTTAGATTGTTTCCATATTTTGAGTATTGTGAATAATGCTGGAGTGAACACAGTAGTGTAGATATCTCTTCAAGATCTGGATTTCAGTTCTTTTGGTTACATACCCAAAAGTGAGATTGCTGGGTCATATACTAATTCTAGTTTTAATATTTTAAGGAACGTTGATATGTTTCCCATGGTGGCTGCACCACTTTATATGCCCATCAACAATGGACAAGCATCCTTTATCTCCACATCCTTGCAACACTAATTATTATTATTATGTTTCATCATAGCCATACTAAAAGGTATGAGGTGATAGCTCATTGTGGTTTTGTCTTGTAATTCCCAGATGACTAGTAATTTCATCGTCTTTTCATGTACATATTGGCCACCTGTATGTCCATAATGGAGAAATGTCTGTCTAAATCCTATGCTTGTTTTAATTGGCTATTTCCCTTGTGTTGTTGAATTGTAGGAGTTCCTTATATATTTCACATATTAACTTCTTATAAAACATATGATTTGCAAATATTTTCTTCCATTTCCTAGGTTGCCTTTTCACTCTATTGATTGTTTCTTTTGCTGTGCAACTTTTTAGTTTGATACAGTTCCACTGACCTATTTTCACTTTTATTGTTTGTGTTTCTGTTGCCATGTTCAAGAAATAATGGACAAAACCAATGTCGGGAAGATTTTCCCCTATATTTCCTTCTAGGCATTTTACAGTTAATGACCCTAAATTTAATTTTTTAATCTTTTTTGAGTTGACTTTTGTGTATCATGTCAGAAGAGGATCTGACATCATTCTTTTTTTTTTTTTTTTTTTTTTTTTTTTTTTTTTTTGAGACGGAGTCTCGCTCTGTCACCCAGGCTGGAGTGCAGTGGCGCGATCTCGGCTCACTGCAAGCTCCGCCTCCCGGGTTCACGCCATTCTCCTGCCTCAGCCTCCCGAGTAGCTGGGACTACAGGCGCCCGCTACCACGCCCGGCTAATTTTTTGTATTTTTAGTAGAGACGGGGTTTCACCATGTTAGCCAGGATGGTCTCGATCTCCTGACCTCGTGATCCTCCCGCCTCGGCCTCCCAAAGTGCTGGGATTACAGGCGTGAGCCACCGCGCCCGGCCTGACGTCATTCTTTTGCATGTGGATATCCAGTTTTCCTAACACCATTTGTTGAAGAGACTATCCTTTTTCCCATTATGTATTCTTGGTACATTTGTTAAAGGTTAGATGTCTGTATGTGTGTGGGTTATGTCTGGGCTTTCTATTCTGCCCAATGGTCTATGTGTCTGTTTATATGCTAGTACAATACTATTTTATTTATTGCAATTTTGTAATATATTTTGAAATCAGGAAGAGTGATGCCTCCAGCATTTTTCTCTTTTTTTTCTTGTTTCCTTTAGCTGTTTTGATCTTTTGTATGTTTACAAAAATTTTAGTTTTCTATTCTATTTTGTAAAAATAGAAAAGAAATCTAGATCTATGTGATTTTAATTGACATTGCATTAAATCATTACATATATTTGAGTAGAATTAACATTTTAACATTAAGTTTTCTAATCCATGACCATGGGATGTGAAGCATAAAATTAACAGAAATATGGAAATAATAAATGTTAGGAAAGAAATAAATGAGATAAGTAATATAAAAAACAATACAATAAATCAATAAAACTCAGGTTTTTAAAAAATATAAACATAATTGGCCAAATAATAGGTGGACCAAGAAAAAAAAGAGAAGACTCAAATATAATCAGAAATGAAAGAGGAAACATTGCATCTAACCGACCAATGCTATAGAAATTAAGGATCAAAATTGACTACTATAAACAATTGTATGCCTAAAAATTGGATGACTTATAAGAGATAAAAAAAAATTTTTAGAAATGTACAAGCTACAATAACTGAATCATGAAGAAATAGAAACTCTGAACAGATCAAAGACTAATAACAAGATTGAATCTGTAATCAAAAACCTCCCAACAAAGAAAATGCGGGACAAGACGGTTTCACTTGTGAATTCTACCAAACATATAAAAAGTACAAACACTAGTCTTTCTAAAAACATTCCAACAATTAAAGAAGTGAGAACACTTTGAGACTCATTTTATGGAACTGGCATTATGTTGATAACAAAGACAGACAAAGATACTACAAGAAAAGGAAACCACAGGCGAATATACTCAATGAACAGATTCCTATTGCTTTTCTATCTGTAGTTCCTTAGTTGTATCGTGTCTGAGACACCATCAGCTCTTTTGCCCTTGATTTCCCTATGTGCGATATGAGGTCCTCTGCAATGGAACGAGCTTTTTTCTGAAGACACGTTTAAAGGAGTGTTGCATGATTCCCTCTTCCTCACATGCAAAATACAACTATAACCTCAAATGTACCATGATGATGGCGAAACACAAGTAGAAAGGAACATGAGCCCCTGCATTACTAACATGTAGCAGAGATGCCCAATGTTTAGGAGTGCATTTTGGACCTGCACTAGTGAGAAATAAGTCTTTATTCTTTAAAAGCATGTTAGATAGAGTACCGAAATTAATGGATATATCATCCTTTCCATAAAGTGGCATTTTCCATAAACTGGTTTATTTTTAGAAACATGTAACCCAGTTTTTTCCAGATTCAACAGTCAGCATAAACATCTGAAGATCATTTAGCCATATTTAAAAAGGCAAACACAAATTGTTTTCTATTAAAAAAAACAATAGTGTGACTACCAAATGAAGTTTGTATTACTAACAAAGGATAAATAAAAGATGTAGCATTATTTAGTCAGCTCTGTATTTCAACATATAATAACATAAATATATCTTCATAAAAAGAGAAAATAAATTCAACATGAGGTAATGATACCTATCTCTGGACTATTGTTTTATAGCTGATTTTTCCCTTTCACATTTGTATTTTACACCTATGTAAAGTCAAGATATATTCACTATTACGATTAATTAAGTGAAGTTGGTAAGATAAATGTCAAGGGCTTTAGAAAGGCACTATACAAACAAGATATCACATGGGACAGTGTTATATCTAATTGCTCAAATGGTAGCCTCCAAGGCAATACTTCAGTGATATTCTCTAGTCACGAGGTCCCCAAGGCCTTGGGGGCAAATATTTGTGACACAGTTTGGTGCTAGGACTTAGTTTCTAGATGTGACCTTATCTCTGCTATCTATGAGTTTTCTTAATAGGTTGGGTAAAAAAGTAACATTTAAAATCTTCAAGGAAATATACTCTCGACACTCCTACTGTTGTTTTCAGGTTTGTTTCTATTAATTAAGTGCTAAGCGGGAGCATTATTGGAGTTCGTTAATTTCAGCAAAAGATCCTTCAGTAAATGAATCACTCAGATGCCTCTGTATTTAGGTGAGTTGATTTAGTTTTTTTAAAATTTTATTTCAGAAGGAAAATACTGAGTTCCGGTAATCTTAGTACCAGACAAACACACGTGTAGGTTGAAGTGCCCTCAAATCCACTTAGTTCATTCAACAAGCAGAGGACCTATGTTGTTATATCCTGATTCCTTCTCCCTTTCAAATGATATCAATTCTGATTTTCTCATTCGGCTCCCACCATGTACTCAGCAATGAAATCAATACTTTGGCAGATAAAGAAGAATAAAGCAAAATTGGCCTTATCTTTAAACTTTCTATACTTTCTGAGGAGATAAGCGAGACTAATAACCAAATCTGTAAATGATAGGATATGGTTTATGGTAACTGTGAGTTATAAGCACTAATGTTTGCAATATATACAGAGGAGAAGAAACAATGAGTAATCTTTACAAGAGTAGATGGTAAAATAAAGCATTATAAAAGTGAGAATAGATAGAAAGCAAACTTTATGTAAATGAGCATGTGCTTTATAATAACTTGATACATCTACCATGACTTTGAGAAAAATGTGTTAGTGGTAATGAGATTGAGTATCTAGATCTAAGCAGTTTGGGAAAATCCAGTCTGCACAATGCAGTTTTCATGCATTCATCAATAAAAAACATTTGGAATTGTTAAAGTCATTGGCTCTCAGGTTAAAGTGATTACAGAAAATTATTCTTGCGATGTTGCAAAGGACATTTCAAATTGAGGAGAGTGACTGGGAAATACAGTCATAATCTAGTTTTATAGTGTTAAGATTTTTATAAATAATTGTTTCAGGGAAATTGCTGAGTAATTGGTCCTTTTGGAAGATATCTTTCCTACAGGCACAAGCTTGTGGGAACTAGAGAAAGCTATTGTGTAATGGAAAAACATAAAGGAGAATGGGGAAAATATAGTTATGACTTAGACTAAAGCCACAAATAAAATTCTACAGTACTTCCATTTTGTGGGTTCAGGAAACTGATTCTCTGCATTGTATTCACAAATGTGTCCACATGTTGATAGCTGTCCCATATAGGCCTCATTTCAATAACTACTTAAGGTTTCTGAAACCACACTAATTAGCTATAATTCTAATAAATATAAAAGTGAATATCTAATATGCTTTATACTGTGTTTTATAACCACTACATTCATTAGCAATCTTTCTGCTTCCATTCTACTGATTTAAATTTTATATCATGAATATATTATCACATTTTACCATTGAGGAAATGCCTTGTGGCATCAAGGCATATTGAAAGAATACTATGGTGTCCTGTTTGAGATGGGTCTTCCTGACACTTATTCTTGGCAAAGCTTTAAACTTAAATCAAAAGGACAGAATGCAATTTTCCTAAAAACTAATATTTATTTGCAGTACTCAGTACTTTCATGTTTATTATTGTTTGTCACCTACCTGTCTTCTGAGATTTGCCACATCAGAAAATGAAAAACTTTTCATTTAAAATTACTTCAACTATTTTATCACTACAGAAACATACATCACATATTTTGTTGCAATAATCTTCTCATAAGTGATATAATACATCATTAAAAATAACATGAAAATTTTTTCAAGTTGAGTTCAACATGCATGAGAAAGATTAGCATATTAGTGTAACACAGCTCCAGAATGTGTTGAAAGTATTGGATTATAAGGAATGAGAAAGGTGTTAAAAATAAAACCACCAATAAACTGTTAAATTTACCATTTTACAGGAATGTTAACATTTTACAATTTGTTAAGAGTTGTAAGTTAACTGTCTCAAAGCTTTAGAGGTACAGCAGGAATGAAACTGTAGAAAAGTATATATTTCCTCCAACAGAAATATTTGCACTTATCTCAGATTCATGCAAACTTAGAGTGGCTCTTCTCATGAAGCCTGCTGTCTTATTATCTGAAATATAGGAAGGTATACCCTGTTTTGTTTTTCCTGTCTTAATTTTGTTTTTTATTATTCCATTCACAAAATAATCCTATTCACCTTGTAATTTTTATATAAGTACTCTACCTTTTGAAATAATTTGACAGTGGAAACCTAGAATTTTCAGCAACACTCTTAATAAAGACCCACTAAGTCTCTCAATATTTCTTCCTTTCTGTTTCTTATTGCACATATTGGCTTCTACTTCTCTGGATCAACTTTCTTATTTTTTTCTCACAGGATTCAAAAAAATCAGACTGCTGGAGTCACCTTCATCCTCTTGGGCTTCTCAGAATTTCCAGACCTTCAGATACCCCTGTTCCTGGTCTTCCTGACCATCTACACAATCACTGTGATGGGGAATCTGGGCATGATCATGGTCATCAGGATCAACCCCAAACTCCACACCCCTATGTACTTTTTCCTCAGCCACTTGTCCTTTGTTGATTTCTGTTATTCCACCACAATTACACCAAAACTGCTGGAGAACTTGGTTGTGGAAGACAGAATCATCTCCTTCACAGGATGCATCATGCAATTCTTCTTTGCCTGTATATTTGTGGTGACAGAAACATTCATGCTGGCAGCGATGGCTTATGACAGATTTGTGGCAGTGTGTAACCCTCTGCTTTACACAGTTGCAATGTCCCAGAGGCTTTGCTCCTTGTTAGTGGCTGCATCATACTCTTGGAGTTTAGTTTGTTCCTTAACATACACATATTTTCTGTTGACTTTATCTTTTTGTAGGACTAACTTCATTAATAACTTTGTCTGTGAGCACGCTGCCATTGTTGCTGTGTCCTGCTCTGACCCCTACATGAGCCAGAAGGTCATTTTAGTTTCTGCAACATTCAATGAAATAAGCAGCCTGGTGATCATTCTCACTTCCTATGCTTTCATTTTTATCACTGTCATGAAGATGCCTTCCACTGGGGGGCGCAAGAAAGCGTTCTCCACGTGTGCCTCCCACCTGACCGCCATTACCATTTTCCATGGGACTATCCTTTTTCTCTACTGTGTTCCTAACTCCAAAAGTTCATGGCTCATGGTCAAGGTGGCCTCTGTCTTTTACACAGTGGTCATTCCCATGCTGAACCCCTTGATCTATAGCCTCAGGAACAAAGATGTAAAAGAGACAGTCAGGAAGTTAGTCATTACCAAATTATTATGTCATAAAATGTAATGCTAGAAATATTAATTATTTATCCTTGAGAGCAGCACTGCAGTTGTTCAATAACTAGTCATTGCATGAAATTATGATAACCCTCCAACTGACAGTACAATATCTATTCACACTGATGTTTAGTAAAATAACTTTAAAGTTATAAATACTGTAAGTATGGAATCTCAGACCATTTAAACTAAATTTTTGATCGAGAATATTGTAATACAAAAGTTTTTGTGTTAGTATACGTTTATTGTGATTGTCCAGGTCAAATTTCAGTTCAATTTAAATCTTGCAAAATGTAAAAATTTTTGAGATGATCTGAAGAATAGTAGTTTATAATGAGGAAGTTTACCTGATAACATAAAATTACTATGATAAGAGCTGTTCAGTATAAAACACTATCTATAAAATAATTACAATTAATTCTGTATGGGCAACTTTGGCATTAGAAGATTTACAGACAAACAAAAATAAATAAGAAAATTATCTTCCTTACGAAGTCCAGAATCTGGTAAAGTTAAGTTATACTTGGTATTATAAATTATATTTTTCTTTATGCATGATAATAAGAAGATGGTAAATATTTTTGCAAATAAATGCCCATCACCCTAGTTCTGCCACTGATGCCAATATGATTGTGCATGTTATTTATTTATTAAAAATTTTATTGAGATAATTTTCTATTCATTTTCCTTTGTAAGAAATAATATAGAGGAATTCCAATTATCTTTTAACCAGTTTCCCCCTAAGATAGTACAATATAACAACCAGGATAATGATATTGAGATAATACACATACATTATTCAAGCATTAGTTATGTATTGATAAAAGAAATATTCATAAACTCAGTGATATCTAACAGTAAGCAATCCTTTCAAATAAGTGACTTGACTGGGGTAGCTCTGTTGATATCAGTTCGACCATTTGGGTGTCAAGAATGGGGTAACTAGATCAGCTACCTTTGGAACTAGAGACCTGTATGTATGTCATCTTCTTTGGACTCTTTGGCTGATAGTCTTTGTTGAAAGCAGAGCCACAATAGAGTATTCCAAAAATAAAAGCATACTTAACGTTCCTGTTTGGGTCTCACCTGTTAACATTTTATGAGTCAGAGAAAATCACGTCCAAGCCCCAAAGCAAGAGTTGAGAAAGTTATCTATTTCTTGTAGAACTGCAAGATTACAAGTCAAGAGTGATGGGTACAGGGAGAAATGAAAAACTGGGTTCAAAATTGATTGAAACATTTACATCTTTAAACACATTCTTCCTTGATAATGCCAGATAACTTTACTGCAGAAAACAGATAACCCATGGCTCTAATTGGTTTTAGAGAAGTTTTCAAATAATTGAAATAATTTGATTGCCTTAACCAAATGGCTGGTTGAGATTAAGTATAAGAACTTACATTTTCTCCTTGTGTCTTGCCAGTCATGATTAAGGCTTACAAGCACAGAATATGAAGTCAACCATGTGTTGAAGGTCCAATCCAAGCTGTTAAGTGATACTTGTTTCCCCTCAAGGTTTATCTTTATTTCCAAATAAAAATTCAATAACTTTTTACCTTAATGCTTTACACCAACTTACATGTCTATGCAACTTACTGTTTAGGAATATACAACAAAATTCTCAACACTTACAGAATACAGCAAAAGTAACAGAGGATTTACTTTAATTTTTAACTGTAGATAATGAGTCATAATTAAATGCTCTAGTCGAGTATTTTTAAAGCTGTGTGTATGTGTGTGCATATGTGTATAGTTTAATAAAGATGTTAAGGAGCACAAAAAAGGATTTAGAAAGTTTGAGTATGCATCGCAGAATATTTAGTATATTCAATAAGGTTTCCAGGATAAAGTTAGAATATACTATTTTTAAATATTGTTTTGGAAGATGTAAGCTGTAATTTGGTAGGTTTCTTTTAGTACAAAATAAAAATCAAAGAAAAAAAGAATAGTTGCTAATCCCTTTAATACAAGATTTTTTTATTTTGGTAAATGTTCATAAATGGGCAGTTTACACAAATATAATGCAATTTCCCCCCCAAATTCTCAAATTATACTTTCAGTGTGAAAGCAAACATGTTAACTGTGAAGATAAATACATTTTAGATAATGTAAGTGAGTTTGCTAATGGTCATATTAAGTGATAGCTATGGGCTATTTTTTTTCTACAAATACATTTGTATGCTGCTCTTCTTTTAAACTTTTGGATACAGTAGGTATAAATGTGACTTTTTTCCCATGGAGGGCTGTGGCAGGACATTTGCTATCATATGCACAATACTAAAGCAAGTTATATAGTTTAATGCTCACTTCTTAGTGGATTAACAACTATAAAAATTATATCTGGACCATTTTATGTAAATGTCAACTTTCATATTATGTTGACTAAACAAAGACGGCATCAAAGATTGTATTAGTGTTGGACAAATATATCATTACGTGATTATATTACATAACACTTTGCTTACGTGAGTGGTTTTTACTGCTATCAAACATAATAGGAAAACAGAGTCCCTATAAAGAAAATGGAAACATATATGATTGATTAAGAAAAGGATAAATATTTGATTCAATAGTCAGTATTTCCTGCTTATGGCATTCTCGATACATAGAATATTTAAGCTCAAGGATACCTTGTTGGTAAAAGTTTTCCCCTGAAACTTGTTGTCATGCAGTTTAAGCACCAGGAAAAAATCCTAAGGAGAGTAAATAACAACAAGCCTGAACCTGTGGATCTGAGAGAACCAAAATTCAGGAAGAATTTCTGGAGGTAATTCTTGGCTATTTTAGATAACAACTTATAAACAGAATATAGAATACAGCAATACTAATAACAAAGTTTTCACATAAATTTCAACAATATATGAAACAAGTTGTATATTATTCTAGGAATTTAAAGTGGATATATCATTTAAATCTCATCAATGAATTTACCATATTAGCAAAATAAGGGAGAAAAGCATATGTTTATTTCAATTTATAAAGATATTTATTCAAATTTATATCTTGTATTAGTCAAAATTCTCCAGAGAAATAGAACCAAGGGGATGGATATCTGCTTAGCTATATCTATATCTGTCCATAGAGAGGTATTTATTTATTTTAAAGAATTAGCTCATGCGATTATAAAGGCTGACAAATGCTGAGAACTTCAGGGTAAATTAGCAAGCTGGATCCCAGGGGAGCCAATGATGAAATTCTAGTCTAATTTGGAAGGCCCAAGAACTAGAGAGCCAGGGGTGTATTTCCAGTCAGAAGGTCAACAGTTTTGAGACCCATGAAGAGCTGATGTTCCAGTTTCAGTCTATAGGCAAACACCTAATGTCTCAGTTCAAAGGCAGAAAGAGGAAAGAATTTTCCTTTGCTTGGGAGAGAAGTAGCCTTTTGTTAGACTCAGGCATTTACTGATGGACGCGTCCCATCCCCATTAGCAAAGGCAATCTACTTTACTTAGGCTACTGATTGATTTAGTTGTTAATCTCATCCAAAAACACCCTTATAAAAACATCCATAATAATGTTTGACTGAATATCTGGGCACCCTGTGGCCCAGTTAATTGATGCATACAATTAACTTTTATGCACTTGTTCATAATAAAACAAAACAGAAGAAAACAAAAGCTCCCAGAAAAATAGAAATAGAAATGTCTTAATCTTTTACCTACCAAATCTGTAGGTAAATATCACAATTAAGGTTAAAATAATCGGCTAGGTGCAGTGGCTCCTGCCTGTAATCCCAGCAATTTGGGAGGCCGAGGTGGGCGGATCACAAAGTCGGGAGATTGAGACCATCCTGGCCAACATGGCAAAACTCCGTCTCTACTAAAAATACAAAAATTAGCTGGGCGTGGTGGTGTGTGCTTGTGATACCAGCTGCTCAGGAGGCTGAAGCAGGAGAATGGCTTGAACCAGGGAGTTGGAGGTTTCAGTGAGCCGAGATCGCACCACTGCACTCCAGCCTGGAGACAGAGTGAGACTCTGTCTCAAAAAAAAGCAAAACAAAATGAAAAAACAACAAAAAAGAGAAAAGAAATAATAGAAGCTTTGTTTTAAATTTCAACTCAAGAGAAGAATGTTCATTATTTCCACTTCTGTGGAAAGGTTGTTCTAGACAATTGAGTAAGACAGGAAAAAAAGAACATTAGTGAAGACAGAATAACACTTTCATGTTTTAAGATAATATAATTGTATGAACATCCAAATCCAAAAAGATCTATCAAAACCAATTAGAGTTAGTAAGGGAATGTAAAAGATCTCTCAATGTAAGATAATTAACATTTTTTTTCCTAGATCTGTGATATCTGTCTACATCCTTCCACATTGTATTAATCCCAGCATCCCTCAGCTTTAGAGATAGTAGTTCTTTTCTGCAGTAACCACTACTGTGGTATATTAAGGTTTTGTGGGGTTTTTGCCTTTTCATCAATTGTTTAACAATTGTAAAAATAATTTTTCTGTACTAAATGTTATGTTTTGAAATCCCTAGAAAAGATTGTGTTTTTCTCGAATAGACTCAGACTCTTGGTAATAATGTTCTCTGAACTAGACCTTCAAATATGGGTATCTAATCATACACTTGGCCGTGAAGACAGGGCTAAGCATCTTTAAAATAGAAATTGTATTCAGTAATCCATGGTGTATAGTAACGTGGCTAACTAAATAATCCTTTGTGCATGATTATAATGAAGTGCTCACTGAATCAAATGCCTGGAGGACTGAGGTGGGGGTTTCACAAAACTGTCATGGAAGTGGTGGTGATTACAAGAACTGGGATCTTCTGAATGCCTGGGAGAGCTTGCAAAAAGATAATAAAAATTCAGGGCATCCAAATGTTGGCATAATTTACTGTCAGAGAACTAGAGATATTTAAGACACTGGGCAAGTGTCCTCAATTTCTTAGTGAGAAACTGATGTGTCAGAGATGATGTCTTAAATAAATCCTATAAAAATACAAGTATTCTTAACATCAGAAAAGAATTCTTTTGATCTTGTGTTCTGCAGAATGTTGAGATATCCTCTCCAAAGCAAATGACAACTTAGGGCAATTTGTACTGCAATTAAGTGATTTAAAATGTACTGCGTCTTTCAGTTATGGAGGCAACACATATCACACTTGAGTAAGCTGTCGCAAACCATTCAAAAAGTAACCTTCAGCTTGCCTCTCTTGCATAATTCCTTACCAGACACTCTTATTGTCCCACCTCTATCTTTTGAATTTTACTCCCAGTGATTGTGGTAGTCAGCCATACATGGAACCCCCAATGATCCCATTCTCTGGTATTCACATCATTGTGGAGTCTCCTCCCATACTTTACCTGGCTTGGTCTGTGTGATGAATAGCATGTGGTAGGAATGAGAATACATAATACTTGAGGTTCAGTCTTAACAGTCTGGATTCTCTCTCTCTGTCTTTTTCCACCTACATTAGGTCTCTCATTCGGGAGGAAGTGGCCATATTTGAATAACCCTGTGAAGGGACCTTTGGGATGAGGAACCTAAGCTTCTGGCCAACAGCCTTCAAGGAACAAGAGGTGCCAGCAACCTTGTGAGTGAGCTTGGATGCAGAAGTTTGACATTGTTTAAGCCTTGAGATTACTGTAGCTCTGGAAGGCTGGTTGCAACCTCATGGGAGACTCTAAACTTGGAGCTAAGCTGCTCCTGGATTTCTGATGCATAGAAACCATGAGGTAATCAGTGTTTATTGTTTCAAACTGCGAAGTTTTGGGGATACTTTTTAGCTGTCAATGAATAATTAATGCAACTGTATTAGTCAGTTCTCACACTTCTATCAAGAACTACCTTGAGACTTGGTGATTTATGAAGAAAAGAGGTTTAATTGACATACAGTTCACAGGGTGTACAGGAGGCAGGTCTAAGGAGGCCTCAGGAAACTTTCAATCATGGCAGAAAGGTGAAGAGGAAGCAGGAATGTCTTCTCATGGCTGGCAGGAGAGACAGAGTAAAAGGGGAAGTGTACACACTTTAAACCACCAGATTTTCTGAGAACTCATTTACCATCAGGAGAACAGCAAGGGGGAAGTCCGCCTCTGTGAATCACCTACCAGGTCCCTCCTGCAACACTGAGGATCACAATCGACATGAGAGTTGGGTGGGGACGCAGAGTCAAACTATATCAGTGGATTTTTGGTGCCTGGGAATATATTGTTGCCAAATAAAAACCCAAGATGTTAAGGTGGCTTTGGAAATGAGCAGTCAGTTTTGAACAAAATATCATTGAAATCTTAATATGTTTTGGAGGTCTTTGATAAGATTACAGTTTAGAGATTCCAGGTGAGTGAGAAAAATATTATTGGAAGTTGTAGAAAGGAATATTCTTGTTATGTAGGGCAGATGTTTAGTAATGCTATTGCCTATAGTAATTTGAAAAGTACAAAATGTGCCTAATATTCTGGGTTATCTAACAACAGATATTTTCTAAGTGAAATGTTTAAAGTTCTACCTGGTTTCTCCTTGAAGATTAGAGTAAGGCATTAGAGGCAAGAAACAAACTAAATTATTAATGTTGAAAGATCCAGGATTTGATGGCTATGAAATCTCTTAGCCTCCCATAATGGGAAAAGTTGGCAAAATTAAGAAATGGTTTCCAAGGATGATCAAATCCATGGCATTGCTGTGAAAACATGATTTAAAGATGAAGTCTAGGATTTGACTATAAAATCTTAAAAAAAAATAGAAAAACCTCAGAAAGATCTAAAGTGGTATCTCAGAGTATATTCACACAAAAGACTCTCAAAAGAGATTAAAAGTGCTCCACCTCCTCTATCAACAACAAGGCTTTTAGGAACCTTAAGTGTGCCATCTCTGAGCCATCTCATAGAAGCCCAAGGTAGGGAAAGACTTATATCTAAAAGACTTAAGGATGTGTTTTTATCTCTAATATAGTGGAATTCAATAAGATTCATAGAAGATCCACAAAGTTCATTTATGTATATATGTGTACATGTATACACACACACACACATATATACACAAACACACACAGAGAGAGAGAGAGAGAGATCACTACCTTAAATTGAAAGACACAGTGACTGAAAAAAATTGAAAGGGGCCTATGAGTTATCAAAATTCTATTAGAAGAAAACAAGCTAAGAAACCTGCTAAGTTGCAAATATGTCCCACATTTCATGAGAAGAAAGGATGATTCAGACCGTGGTACCAAAAGTCCAGAGGTGAGAGCTAAGGAACCGAGACTAATTAGGCTAATTATTCCCAGATTTTGCAATTTAACCAAAGAAATTTCTAAATTTCCCTGGCTGGACTTCAGAATTCCAATGGATGAGTAATTCCTTTGCATATGTTGAACCAGAATGTTTATAGCAATATCTCTTACCAGTACCAACATTGTATGCTAGGTTTATAGAGTAACCGTTACTTGTCTCCTTAGTTTCATAGGTTGAGAGAAACTGGACTTGAGAACCTCTAATTAAGACAATACATCCATGGAGCTTCCTTTATATTTGGTCCTGATGGTGATTACATATTGTCAACTTTAACAAAATGCTGTGGTGGAATAAGGCATTTGGGCCCTTGGGAAGATTTGAGTGTTTTTTTTATGTGGCGAAGGGACAAGAGTCATTGTAGATCAGAAGGCATCATGTAGCATCCCCAAAATGGCACCCAATAATTTCTACTTTCTTGTAATGATCCATTTGTTTGAAAGGTCCCCAAGATCTGTTTTAATCAGGTATGGTAAAATATAGAGACATTGACATGATTGTGTTAAAAGAAAAATTTTATTATACTTACAGATCCCTAGAAAGAGGAGGCATGACATGTTCCACAGGGCTACACAAACAAGCACCAGGGTTGGTCCAGAAGTGGAAGGAGTGAGGGGAAATATGACAAGAATTTTTTTTTTGAGATGGAGTCTTGCTCTGTTCCCAGGCTGGAGTGCAACGGCACAATCTCAGCTCACTGCAATCTCTGCCTCCCAGGTTCAAGCGATTCTCCTGCCTCAGCCTCCAGAGTAGCTGGGATTACAGGTGCTTGCCACCACGCTAGGCTAATTTTGTGTATTTGTAGTAGAGTTGGGGTTTCACCATGTTGGCCATGCTGGTCTCAAACTTCTGACTCCAAGTGATCAGCCCACCTGGGCCTCCCAAAATTCTGGGATTACAGGCGTGAGCCACCGCGCCCGGTGAAATATGAGCAGGGATCTTTACAAAGGAACTGCTGAACGGACTTGCAATTGGCTAGCTTGAATAATTTCAGCAGGCCCTTGTGTCTAGAGGCTTTCCCTAGGTGTCTAGTGCCTGGCCCTAGGGATGATTTAGGAAGGAGGATAATGGCCCAGAGCATGAGTGCCTGGTAGAGGAGGTGACCTGAGCAGTGGTTGTGGATTTGTTAGTTTGCAACTCTAGGGTGAGTTGTTTATCGTCTCTAAGAATTGGCAGACCATGGGTGGGCCCATCCCTCCAGGGTTCACAAGGCCCAAGATGTCAAAGCATCAGAATATAGAACATAAAATACACGGTTAGTACCCTTGTGTAGTCCCCTCCTAGATTGGGTAACCAATAGCATACTGCAAAAGTGCCAGTGTGTCAATGGGAGATTGGCTCACAAAGGTCTCCAGCTTGTGTGTTCTCTTGAATCCCTCATCTGGAATAAGCAAATAGCCATGCTTTGATCTGCCCTTTTGAGAAGCATGGGAAGGAACCGAAGCTTCTGGTGAATAGCCAGTGAGGAACTGCCAATAATCATGGAAGTGAGTATAAAGGTGGAATCTCCAACCTTATTGAGCCATAAGTTTACCACAGTTCTGAAGAGACTTTCAGCCAGAACCACCCACCTCACCTGCTTCTGAATTCCTGATCTTCATAAATTATGGAAGAAAATAAATATTAGTTAAATAACTAAAATACTGTCCAATCTCTTACTGTCCAAATCATCATTGTTTTGCCTAAGGAATTTTTCTGAAGCTCAGTAGTTAGATCATCGCAAAGGTGAGGCAAGTGAGATGTTTGAGGCAATGAATCCAAACAAACAGATCTCATTCAATGAGTGATAAAAGTTGATGTAAAAGATGCCAGTGAGGGCCAGGTGTGGTGGCTCATGCCTGTAATCTCAGCACTTTGGGAGGCCAAGAGGTGGGCAGATTACGAGGTCAGGATATCAAGACCATCCTGGTTAACACAGTGAAACCCCGTCTCTACTAAAATACAAAAAATTAGCCGGGCTTGGTGGCATGCACCTGTAATCCCAGCTACTCGGAAGGCTGAGGCAGGAGAATCGCTTGAACCCTGGAGGCGGATGTTGCAGTGAGCCGAGATTGTGCCACCTCACTCCAGCCTGGGCGACAGAGTGAGGCTCTATCTAAAAAAAAAAAAAAAAAAAAAAAAAAAAAATTCCAGTGTGATCTATTCTTGATGAGTGATTATTAGCTATATTCTGTACTATTTTCCAGACTATTCTCATGAGACTAAGCTTCATTGTCCTGTAGTTGTAGCTGACTTGTCAGTGCATCTTATTTGGTTGTCTTTTCTTTCCTGTTTCACTTACACATCTACTATTAATTAGTTTTACTTATTAAATAAATTACCATATTAAATAAATTACTTATTAAATAAATTATCTGAGCATGACTGCTTGTATCTAATCTGCTTTGGGGAAAATAAAAAAAAAAAACACACACACACACAATTTTAGTTCAAAAGAAATCTTTAGCTTTGGCCCGGGCTACCTGAAATGTTTCTCTGATTTGGGTATTTTAAGTCGGCAGATTGGATGATACTCACAGTGTTAGATTCCACAAATGGAGGACACTACAGTGAGATTGGTAAACTAAAGCAGAGTAAAGCTCTTCCTCATTGTGTGTGTCTGTGTTCTTGTTCCTGTAAGCATATGATATTTTTCTCTATAGCAAAACCTGGTTCAAACTTCAACATTGTTAATCCCCTCAATTCAGCATATGGCTGTACTTCCTTTAATTTAATCATATGGCTGTACTTCCTTTAATTTGACTGTATATAATAATGTTGGATGGATGTAAAACAATCCAGATTAGATTATTATTGAGAATATTTTCTTTCT